>NC_000006.12:17181212-17332727 GCF_000001405.40 Homo sapiens | reverse complement strand
GCAGTGCGCAGAGATTGAGCCATTGCACTCCAGCTTGGGCAACAGAGCGAGACTCCGTCTCAAAAAAAAAAAAAAAAAAAAAAAATACACACCTCACTATAACTAAGTAAAACTGCAGGGAACCAAAAATAAAAGAATATTTTAAAAGCAGCCAGAGAGAAAAGATGACTCACCATAAAGAAACGGCAATTAGATTTGTAGCTGACTTCTTCACTGCAACATTAGAAGCCAGGAGACAAGAGAAAAGTATCTTGAATGTGGCCAGGTGCGGTGGCTCAAGCCTGCAATCCCAGCACTTTGGGATGCGGAGGCGGGCAGATCACGAGGTCAGGAGATCGAGACCATCCTGGCTAACAGGATGAAACCCCGTCTCTACTAAAAACACAAAAGATTAGCCGGGTGTGGTGGTGGGCTTCTGCAGTCCCAGTTAATCAGGAGGCTGAGGCAGGAGAATGGCGTGAACCCAGGAGGCGGAGCTTGCAGTGAGCTGAGATTGTGCCACCGCACTCCAGCCTGGACAACAGAGCAAGACTCCGTCTCAAAAAAAAAAGAAAAAAGAAAAGTATCATGAATGTTTTTAGAAAAGCTCAATTGTAAATTTAGAATAATATACTTTATGAAACTATATTCAAAACTTAATTTAAAATCATTACATTTTATTTTTATTTTCTGTTTTTGAGACAGAGTCTAGCTCTTGTGTCCCAGGCTGTAGTGCAGTGGCACAATCACAGCTCACTGCAGCCTCAATCTCCTGAGCTCAGGTGATCCTCCTGCCTCAGCCTCCTCAGTAGCTGGGATTACAGGCAAACAAACACCACCACTGATTTTTTTTTTTTGTCTTTTTTTGTAGAGAGAGGGTATTGCTATGTTGCCCAGGCTGGTCTTTAACTCTTGGCCTCAAGTGATTCTGAAACCGACCCAATAGTCCCAAAACAGTTTTTTTGTTTGTTTTTGTTTTTTGTTTGTTTTTTGGACAAAGATAGATATTGACTCTGGTCTTAAAGCTTGAAGCTTACATTTGTTTTATCTGAGTTCCTTCCTCAGGAAAGGACCTTCAGGCCTCTCCAAAAAGTATAGAACTGAAACTCACCAGACGACCACATCCAGACAATGAGATGCCAGACCCCTCATTCATCATGATTGCTTCCTTGCCTCTCCCTAGTTCCTGTTTTCTTATACATTGTTACATTTCTTCCCTGCTATGTAAATCCCTAGTTTTAGTAGCTAAGGGAGGTGGATTTGAGATGAGCTCCCATCGCCTCTGCTGCACCTGATTAAAGCCTTCTTCCTTGGCAATATTCGTCATCTCAGTGACTGCCTTACTGTGCAGCCAACAGCAGGACCCAGACCAAACTTCTGATGTTTCAGTAACAATTCTCCCACCTCGGCCTCCCAAAGTGTTGCGATTACAGGTGTGAGCCACCATGCCCAGCCTACATTTTCATATGTGTCACTTCTCCTTACATTTCATTACTTAATTCAGATGATTATGCCTAATAGCAAATTTGTGGATGTCCAGAAGGAGCTGAGAACCAGAAATCTTACTAAGGATTAGTTACTTTACTGTTGTAGGGAAAATTACACAGGTGGTAAAAACAGTAAAAAACACAGTGAGTTAGGAGCATAAAAGTCAATAAAGTGGCTACCTTTGTGGGGAGGGCAGGTATATGATTGAAGAAGGGCATTCGTGAAGGGGTAGGGGAGCTTCAAGATTATGTATTGGTGACCAGGCACAGTGGCTCACGCCTGTAATCCCAGCACTTTGGGAGGCCAAGTCGGGTGGATCACAAGGTCAGGAGTTCAAGACCAGCTTGGCCAACATGATGAAACCCCCGTCTCTACTAAAACTACAAAAATTAGCCAGGCATGGTGGCGGGCGCCTGTCATCCCCCATACTCGGGAAACTGAGGCAGGAGAATCACTTGAACCTTGGAGGTGGAGGTTGCAGTGAGCTAAGACCACGCCATTGCACTCCAGCCTGGCGACAGACTCCATCTCAAAAAAAAAAAAAAAAAAGATTATGTATTGGTGATAGTCTCTTTGCTAAACTGGATGATGGGTGTTTGGTGTTTGTTTTTATAATTTCTTAACCTAGAATTTATATATTGGATACACTTGTGTACATACGATAAAGAAGCAACAGAGCACTCTAGCTACTTGGTAGTGAATGGAGCTGCAGGGTTAAAAGCAGAAGCAGAGAAACAAACCAGCCAGGAGATGATAGCAGTAGACCAGGGGAAGCATGGGAAGAGCTTAGCCTAGGGAGAGAGCAGTGCAGATCAGAGAAAGTAGGGGAATTTAGGACATACTGTGAAGCCAATGAGAAATTGGATATGTGAGTAGAGGAAAAGATAGGCAATAATAATGACTGCTAATATTAATATTTTAGTCTGTATTACTGGATGGATGGAGGTGCCATTAATTGAAAAGAGGGATATTAAGAAAGGAAAGATTTGATGGGGATAGACAAGAATTCTCTTCTGGGCCAAGTGCAGTGACTCACACCTGTAATCTCAGCACTTTGGGAGGCTGAGGTGGGTGGATTACCTGAAGTCAGGAGTTCGAGACCAGCCTGGCCAACATGGCGAAACCCTGTCTCTACTAAAAATACAAAAATTAGCTGGGTGCGGTGGCACGCACCTGTAGTCCCAGCTAACTCAGGAGGTTGAGGGTAGGAGAGTTGCTTGAACCTGGGATGCAGAGGTTGCAGTGAGCCGAAATCATGCCACTGCACTCCAGCCTGGGTGACAGAGCGAGATTCTGTCTCAAAAATAAAAATAATAAAAAAAAAGAATTATCTTCTACTCTTCTGGGTAAGTTTTTGATGTCTATTAGATATTAAAAGTGAAGATACCAAGTAGTTAGGGCCTATAAGAATCTAGGGGAGAGGTGAAGGCTTGAGATATAAATGAGGGAGTCTCGAATACATTGGTGACATATTTCCATCCTTTGTGATACGTATTTTTCTAAAACAGGGACTGAGTCTGTTGCCCAGGCTGGAGTGCAATGGTGCAATGACGGCTCACTGCAGCCTCGACCTCCCGGGGCTCAAGCAATCTTCTCACCTGTTTCCCTTGTAGCAGGGACTACAGGTTCGAGTCACCATACCTGGCTTTTTTTTTTTTTTTTTTTTTTGTAACGGGGTTTCACTATATTGCCCAGGCTGATTTCCTGGGCTCAAGTGATCTGCCCACCTTGGCCTCCCAAAGTGTTGGGATTATAGGCTTGAGTCACTGTGCCCAGCCTCCTTTGTGATATTAAAAGACAAGAAATGTTTAAATGTATACTAATAACTAGCTATATAAATTATGGTGCTTATAATGGAATATCATGCAGCCATTAAACAAGGGTGTAGACTCTGGATTCTATTAAAAGTGTTCAGGATATATTGCTGGGTAAAAAAATCAAAGGGCATAACCACATGTATTATATGATTTGTATGAAAAATAACCACAGGTCGGGCATGGTGACTCATGCCTGTAATCCCAGCACTTTGGGAGGCTGAGGCAGGTGGATCACGAAGTCAGGAGTTCGAGACCAGCCTGACCAACATGGTGAAACTCCATCTCTACTAAAAATACAAAAATTAGCCAGGCGTGGTGACTCGCACCTGTAATCCCAGCTACTCGGGAGGCTGAGGCAGGAGAATTGCTTGAACCCAGGAGGCGGAGGTTGTAGTGAGCCGAAATTGTGCTGCTGCACTCCAGCCTGGGTGACAGAGCGAGACTGTCTCAAAAATAATAATAATAACAACATATATATATGCTGTGCATGAATGGAAAATTCCTGTAAGACACACAAGCAGGTGCCAATAATGGTTGTTTTTTGTTTTGTTTTGTTTTTTTTGAGACAGAGTTTTGCTCTTTTTGCCCAGGCTGGAGTGCAGTGGCGTGATCTCAGCTCACCACAACCTCCGCCTCCCGGATTCAAGCAATTCTCCTGCCTCAGCCTCCTGAGTAGCTAGGATTACAGGCATGCGCCACCACACCCGGTTAATTTGTATTTTTAGTAGAGATGGGGATTTCTCCATGTTGGTCAGGCTGGTCTTGAACTCCTGACCTCAGGTGATCCACCTGTCTCAGCCTCCCAAAGTGCTGGGATTATAGGCGTGAGCCACTGTGCCCGGCCCAGCAGTGGTTATTTGTCCAGAGCTGGGGTGGAGGCAAGATATGGGGAGGGTGGCTTTTGCTTATCATTTTTTAAAATTTATATTTTTACTTAGAATATATATTTTATAAGTGGATAAGTACATAAACATCAGGTGGTGATTGTGTTGTTGTTGTTACAAAAGAGGCTTCAGGCTATGATGGAAAGAGAATGAAACCAGGGAACTGGAGGCCTGGTTCTTTACTGACTCCGCATGTGGTGTCAGACCAGCCATCACTTCTATCTAGGCTTTAATTTTCTCATCAGTAAAGCATCATCATTGGACAAGCAGATCTCTACATTCTAAGTCCCATCTAGACTAATTTTGCCTTATGCTATATTCTATCCGGGCTTATATTCATACAGCACGCCAACAGATGGATTAAGATACTCTGTTAATTTTTTATTTTTTGAGATGGAATCTCGCTCTGTCTCCCAGGCTGGAGTGCGGTGGCATGATCTTGGCTCACTACAACTTCCGCCTCCTAGGCTCAAGCAATTCTCTCTCAGCCTCCCAAGTAGGTGGGATTACAGGCATGCACCACCATGCCCAGCTAATTTTTGTATTTTTAGTAGAGACAGGGTTTTGCCATGTTGGCCAGGCTGGTCTTGACCACCTGACCTCGTGATCCACTCACCTCAGCTTCCCAAAGTGCTGGGATTACAGGCGTGAGCCACCATGCCCAGCCCTGTTGTTTTGTTTTTGTTTTTGTTTTTGTTTTTGAGATGGAGGCTCACTCTGTCGCCAGGCTGGAGTGCAGTGGTGCAATCTTGTCTCACTGCAATCTCTGCCTCCTGGGCTCAAGCAATTCTCCCACCTCAGCCTCCCAAGTAGCTGGGATTGCAAGCATGTGCCACCACGCCCAGCTAATTTTTGTATTTTTAGTAGAGACAGGGTTTTGCCATGTTGACCAGGCTGGTCTCGAACTCCTGGCTTCAAGTGATCTGCCTGCCTTGGCCTCCCAAAGTGCTAGGATTACAGGCATGAACCACCACACCCAGCCCAGATTCTCTGTTTTACTCCAGTCCAGTCCAATACAATCCACCTAATCCTATTCAATTCATCCAGTCCTAATCAATCCATCCAATCCTATTTAATTCAACAGTGCATCTGCTATGTCCTAGGTACTGTGTAAGTGACAAAACAATAAAAGGCAGTCCTCATCCTTAAAGTGTGTCCCTGGTGTAGTTGGGGTGATAGTTATTAGGGTCCACCCAACTGGACTGTTTCCCTATCCCATAGACCTAAGCCCCAAAGGCCAAAAAGTAAAATCCCCTACCCCAAATCTGCCTGTAACTCTTTGACTGGAGGCCAGCTGTTCCAGGATGCAGTTAAGACGTCTACCTTGCATAACAGAACTGGCAAGAAAAACATCTCCAGGAAGCGGTCAGACACCTGGCACAAAGGACCCCCCACCTTTTTCTTTTTCCTTCACCCTGACCCAGTTCTATGCCCTATAAAACCCTGCTATAGCCTGTAAGTGGGTCTGCCTCCTCTGCTTTTGTCAAGAGGTAGCCCAGCAGGACTGACAATAAATCAGCTTGCCTGAACTTGGGTCTATTGGCCTCATTCCTTTTTCGGCTGTCCTTCCAATTATCCCTTACATCTTGGTGCCGAAACCTGGGAAGGTGGTAGAATTCGACCTCCCTTTCTTTCCCTCCCTTCCCCCGGTCGAACTCCCCCTTCCTGAACCTGCCCAAAGATCCATGGGATCTTCTACTCTTCTCCATTGCTGGCAAACACATCCGACACCAAGACCGCCTCAGGGGTGAGTAAAGGAGACTTCTGCCTTCCATCGGAACCCTTGTCTGCTTCTCCTTTCCTGAAAGACCCAGTGCTAGGCCAAGGGTTTCCTCCTCCTGGCCTCCAGGCCCTCAGTATCTCCCTTTCAGGGACACCTGAACGGGGGATTATCGCACCTCTCCGACTTGAACTGTGGGATAGAGGACATGTTCTCCCATCGTTCTAGTCTCTGGCGAAGTCTCCCATCTCCACCTCTCCCTCACTCATTCTACCATGGGAGCCTCTGAGTCCACTCCCTCAAAGACGGGCCCCCTCGGATGTCTCCTCCACAACCTTAATGCCCTTGGCCTCCATTCTGAAATTTGGCCAAAAAGGCTCATCTTTTATTGTAACACAGCCTGGTCTCAGTATAAATTGGACGATGGCTCTCAATGGCCTGAAAATGGCACATTCGATTTTAACCTCCTCAGGGACCTAGACAACTTTTGCCATCAGAATGGAAAGTGGTCTGAAATCCCTTACATTCAGGCCTTTTTTTGCCCTCTGTAGCCTCCCCTCCCTTTGTCAGTCCTGTTCTGCTTTCCAAATCCTCCTTGCCCACTCCAGGCCAGACTCATCCTCAGCTTCCTTTCCTTCTGACAATTCCTTCTTCTTTGACCCTGCCGACTTCCCCCTGCCCCTTCAACATAATAATCCTCCGCCCCATCATCATGACCTTCCACCCCATGCTCCTGCCCTCTGTCTTTCCCCCCGGCTCCAACCACCCAGCTTCTGACTCTGATTCATCCCCATCTCCACGTCATACCCGCTCTCAAACTCAGCATGCCCAACAACCAGCCCCCATACTTCCCCTCCAAGAGGTGGCCACAGCCGAAGGCATCATTTGCGTCCACGTTCCTTTCTCCCTCTCTGACCTCTCCCAAATTGAAAAATGTCTCGGGTTCTTTTCCTCTGATCCCAACACTTACATCAAAGAATTTAAATATCTCACCCAATCTTATGAACTTACTTGGCATGATCTCTACATTATCCTCTCTTCTACTCTCCTTTCAGAAGAAAAGGAAAGAGTGTGGCTTGCAGCACAGGCGCATGCAGATGATCTTCATCGGCAAGACCCTACTAAGTCCACAGGGGCTGCTGCAGCTCCCCAGGAGGAACCCCCCTGGAAGTACCAACCCACAGACCCCGACCGGGCATCTTGTAACCATATGATTATTTGCCTCATCATAGGCCTTAACAAAGCAGCCCATAAAGCTGTAAATTTTGAAAAGCTCAAAGAAATCTCCCAAAGAGCCAACAAAAACCCTGCCGAATTTCTTTCCCGCCTTACAGAGGCCCTCCAAATATATACCCACATTGACCCCACCTCCCAGGAAGGAACTATTGTTCTTAATACCCATTTCATCTCTCAGTCTGCTCCTGACATACAATGCAAACTTAAAACAGCTGAAGATGGCCCCCAAACCCCACAATAAGACCTCCTTACCCTGGTTTTCAAAGTCTTCAATAAACAGGGATGAGCAGATTAAATTAGACAAGACCCAAAGAGATCGTGCTAAATACCAGCTTCTGGCAGCAGCTATCTGTCAGCCTAGCCATAGTACCCAAGGGCACAAAAAACCCAATGGCAGTAACCTCCCCAGTCCTTGTTTTAAGTGCGGCAAAGAAGGTCACTGGGCACGGGCATGTCTTCACCCAAGGACACCAAAAACTCCTTGCCCAGCCTGCCAACAGACTGGCCACTGGAAGTCTGATTGTCCACTTAACAACCAGGCTAACAGACCAACTCCTCAAAGCCCTGGCAAGGCAGAGAGTGAAAAACCACTCACCTTCCTGCAGCTCCTTGGCCTGGCCACTGAAGACTGATGGAGCCCAGGGCCCCTGGCCCCATCTGCCATCACTGCATCAGAGCCAAGGGTAACTCTGCTAGTAGCAGGTAACTCTGCTAGTAGCAGGTAAAAGCCAGTCTCCTTTTTAATCGATACTGGGGTCACCTACTTGGCTTTGCCTGAATTTTCAGGACCCACTCATCCCTCCCAGGTCTCTGTCGTGGGGGTTGATGGATTCATCTCACATCCACACACCACTGAGTCCCTTACTTGTTTCTAGTTTAATACTGTTTTTACACACTCCTTCCTTACCATGCCTGGTTGTCCCACCCCCATTCTAGGCCAAGACCTTTTAACTAAATTCAAAGCTTCCATCACTTTTTCCTGCCTCTCTCAACCAGAGTCCCTTCTGCTCCTCTCCACTAGTCCAGCCCCTGACCCTTCTCCCTAGTACCTGCTTCCCTCCTCCCTCGTTAACCCAGTGGTGTAGGATACCACCACCCCTTCCGAAGCTGCACACCATAACCCCATCAAAATCCTGTTAAAGGATCCCTTCAAATTTCCTAACATTCCCCAATACCCCGTCTCCCTAACCCACCAAAAGGGCCTCCAACCTGTTATAAACAAGCTCTACTCATGTGGTCTTCTTAGACCAACACATTCTCCATATAACACCCCCATCCTTCCCGTTAGAAAATCTGACGGCTCATACCGACTCGTTCAGGACCTCTGAGCCATCATTCAGGCTGTCCTCCCTATTTACCCTGTGGTCCCTAACCCCTATACACTTCTCACCCTCATCCCCTCCAACACCACCCACTATACAGCAATCGACCTAAAGGATGCTTTCTTACACCATTCCCTTACACCATTCCCTTACACTCTGATTCCCAAGACCTCTTCGCCTTCACCTGGACTGATTCTGACACTTTTCAGTCACAACAACTCACATGGACTGTCCTCCCTCAAGGCTTCAGAGACAGCCCTCACTTCTTTGGACAAGCTCTAGCCCAAGACCTCACCTCCTTAAACTGTTCCCCCAGCCACCTTCTCTAATACATTGACGATCTCCTTCTTTGCAGCCCCTCCCTAGAGGACTCTCAAACTCACACCATCACCCTTCTAAACTTTCTTGCTAGCAAAGAATATAGGGTCTCCCCCTCCAAAGCCCAACTATCCGCCCCAACAGTAACATACTTAGGAGGCCAACTCTCCCCCTGGTGCCCAAGCCATGACGCCGGCCTGAGCAACCTTAATAAACACCTTGCCTCCGTCTTCCTCAAAAAATGAAATTCTCTCTTTCTTAGGACTAGCAGGTTTCTTTAGAATATGGATTCCCAACTTTGCTCTCCTGGCTCGGCCCCTCTACGAAGCAGCCAAAGGCCCCCTCAGTGAACCCCTAAGCCCCTCACACAACATACTTCCCGGTTTCTGTAAACTCCAAACTGCTCTCGTCACTGCACCTGCCCTGTCCTTACCTGACATCTTCCAACCCTTCGTTTTTTATACCACCGAAAACCAAGGAATAGCTCTCAGGGTCTTAGGGCAACAAAAGGGAAATCCTCCTTCCTTTGCCCCTGTGGCATACCTCTCTAAACAATTAAACAACACTGTCAGAGCGTGGCCAACCTGTCTTAGAGCATTAGCAGCAGCGGCCGTTTTGGCTCTGGAAAGTAACATTTGGCCAAAGCACCACCGTCCACAGCCCTCACAACTTACAGGATCTCCTCTCCTCTCAGGCGTTAAGCTCCCTCTCTCCTTCCCGAATTCAGTTACTGCATGCCCTCTTTATCGAAAATCCCAAATTCAGCCTTGCCAAAAGCACCCCCCTCAACCCAGCATCCCTACTCCCCATATCCTCTTCCCCTCCTACTCATTCTTGCACTGACATTCTGGATCACCTGCAGCCACACTTCCCTAACATCTCCTTCGAGCCTCTCACTAACCCAGATGGCCACTATTCATAGATGGCTCCTCTTCTGGAGCCCCCGGCTCTCCCAAAATTGCTGGGTACGTAGTAGTTACCTTAAACCATGTAATTGAGGCTAAACCCTACCCCCAGGAACCTCCTCCCAGAATGCAGAACTCATAGCTCTCACCAGAGCCCTAACCCTCTCCAAAGACAAACGGGTCAACACATACACAGACTCCAAGTATGCCTATCACATTCTTCATTCCCATGCTACCATCTGGCAAGAGAGGATTCCTTATCACCAAAAGAACCCCCATTACTAATGGCCCCCTTACTTAACAACTCTTTCAGGCCACACACCTCCCAACTGAAGCAGGAGTCATACGCTGTTGAGAACATCAAACAGGATCAGATAAAATCTCAAGAGGAAATAAAAAGGCCGATGAGGCAGGAAAACGGCCTCCCTTTCTCCTCTCCTTGCCCCCATCGTCCTTGTCACCCCAGCAGTCCCACCCAGATACCCTCCCACCAAAAAGGCTTTGCTACTACAGCAAGGAACCTCCCTTCAAGGGGACTGGATAATAAAAGATCAAAAGCTCATTCTTCCCCAAGAGCAAACCAAGGAAATTCTAACACCTCTTCACCAATCCTTCCATATTGATGCACGCCGGCAGTACCTACTCCTTCGCCCTTGTTTCTCGTCCCCCAATCTATTCGCCTCACTAAAGGACATAACCTCAAACTGTCGTATATGCTCGTTACTTCCTCCCAAGGGGCTCTTTGCCCTCTCCTCATCCCTACACGCCAGCTCAGAGGAACACTCCCAGGGAGCACTGGCAAGTAAACTTCACCCACATGCCTCCCATCAAAAAAAACTAAATATCTTCTTACCCCCGTAGACACTTTTTCAGGTTAGGTAGAAGCATTTCCTACCCCTTCAAAAAAAGCTGCAGAAGTCTCTCAAATTCTCATATCAGAAATCTTCCCTAGATTTGGTCTCCCTCTCTCCATATAATCAGACAATGGGCCTAGTTTCATCTCCCAAATTACCCAACAGGTGTCCCCATCCCTTGGTGTTCAGTGGTGCCTCCATATCCCATACCAGCCCCAGTCATCCGCAGAAATCGAGCGGGCAAACGGAATTCTCAAACTCAGTTAACCCAACTCACACTTGAGGTCAAAAAACCTTGGACCTCCCTTTTATCCATAGCACTGGCTCGCATCGGAGCCAGTCCAAAAGCCCCCTCCTTCCTCAGTCCATTTGAGTTAATGTATGGATGCCCTTTCCTCTCACAAAACAGACCCCCTCCTAACTCTCAATTAGGAGAGCACCTTCCAACACTCTCCCTCATGTGTCATATTCTCCGCAAACAAGCTGACTAGGCCCTCCCAAAACCCCACCAAGGCCCCACCGACCAGGCACTCCTTCCTGGAGAATATGTCTTTCTAAAAACCCTTACTCCAACGAGTCTCAAACCAAAGTGACAAGGCCCTTTCCAAGTCCTTCTCACTACCCCCACCGCAGCCAAACTTTCAGGACACAACTCTTGATACCATCTTTCCAGGTTAAAAAGGGCCCCTGCAGCTGACCCGCCACCAACTAACCAACCAGCTGTTCCCTGCAAATACTCCAGCACTCTTCTCGGACCAACTTGATTCCGCCTAACACCCATCCCAGAAGACCTCACTCTTCCCCCATGAACCGTAACAGATAAGTTGTCACCCCCTACCATTAAGTATCCAAACCCTTATTAATGGAAATCATCTATTACGCTGCCCTTGCAGGAATCAGCGTACTTACTCTACTCTTTGCCATAGGACTATATACTGTCTCACTTCCTGGGTGGGATTTCAAACAAAAAATCTCAGTATCTGCAAACTTTTGCCTCATAATCCTCCTTATAGCAGGTATAACAGCCACCAACAAGTAGTTGCCCCTCCTTAATGTCCTGTCTTTGCCCGTCCTGCTGTTTCACCCTCTTCCTTCACTGCATCACAGAAAACATTTCATGGTCCTACCCAGAACATCCCACCCTCACGGCATTCCTTGACTGGATCACTGATCTTATATTTCAAGGGGATTTACAGGAATTCACTCCAGATGAAGCCGAATTCTTTACCTTTACACTTGCTGTCTATCTATTTACTTCTTCTTCCCTCCTCCTCCTCATCCTCACTACAGCTTCACCTTCAGCGCACCATTCAACAGGCACATACGATACTCAAACTAACCCCTCCCTGGCCAAGGCCTGCTGGTTCTGTGTACACCCCTCAGAAACCATATCAAAGGATGCCTTCCCAGTTCCCCTCAAAGACTGGGTTCTCACCAGTATAACCCTCCACCCCCGCTACCAAAGTTTCGGAGGAGTAAATGCACTCAAAATTTACAAACTTAATCTTAGCGTACATACTTCACAACACAAGGTTATCTTAGGAGCACTTACCTCAGACTCAAAACTAAGCCAACAAGCATCCCTATGCATAAAGCGTGAACTTTCCTCAGGAGTCCCCCTAGGCACCCTCTCCTCTAGCTTATGCAACTATACCCTGACACTCACTCCCCCGACAGGCATCCAAACAGTAACAGTAACAAACCCCACACAAACTCTCAAAATCTCCAACCCCCCTCAGACCTGAGTCACGGGAGAAACATCAGGATTCTGCAATAACTGACACAGGCCCTGCATAGAAATCGCAGGGTGGAGCACTTGTCTAGACCCCGTCCCCGCTTCCGAATGCATGGAAATCCCACTGCCTAACACACCTTCAAACAGACTACTTATTGATACAGAATGTTTCATTCTACACTTAGAAAACTCAACAGTAGGAGCTAGCCAGCTCAACTCAACACACCCCCTTCAACCCCTAACCGGAGCGGCTCTAGCCTCCTCCCTCCACGCCTGGCGCTCAGAGAACAACATTTTACACTTCCTTTTTGCCATACATTTCCAATTCTGCCTCCCTAGACAAGGTGCATTCTTTCTATGCGGCACCTCCATCTACCTCTGTCTTCCCACCAACCGGACAGGCCCCTGTACACTGGTCTTCCTCAGCCCTAAAATGGGCATAGCTCCAGGAGAAAACCTGCCCCTCCAAACCCTAAATACTCAAATCCCACACCACAGGCACCGGGCCATACAGCTTATCCCATTACTCATAGGCCTGGGCATCACAGCAGCCATGGGCACAGGAGTAGCAGGAGTCACAGCTTCCTCTTATTACCATAAAACCTTATCAAAAGGCCTTTCAGATGGTATAGATGACCTTGCAACTTCCATATCCACCTTACAAGCTCAGCTAGACTCTCTAGTGGCAGTCGCCTTACAAAATCACAGAGGTCTCGACCTACTGACTGCTGACAAAGGAGGACTCTATTTTCCTAGACAAAGAATGCTGCTTTTATTTTAATCAGTTAGGCTTAGTTCAAGATGCACTAAAAAACTCAAAGATCGAGCCCAAAAGATCAGGGAAAGCAGCCCCTCTACCTGGCCCTCTTGGGCCTCTTGGTCTGTCAGCACCTGGGCCCCCTGGCTACTCCCTCTCCTTGTACCGGATATAATCCTTTTTCTTCTCCTAATCTTCGGGCCTTGCTTAATACGCCTCCTCACCCAGTTTTTACAGAACTGTATCTGAGCTTTTGCCCACGGAACCATACAGGGCATGATGTTACTCCAGGAGTATCAACAATTTCAAAACCAAAGCCAACCCCTACTTTCCAGCCTTTCCCCTAGTCACCGCCCCCTCTCAACTTGAAGCAGTCTGATGAAATCAACGCCCCTTCTCTATCATCTATTAAAAGGCTGGAATGTTAGGGTCTACCCAGATGAACTGTTTACCCCTCCCATAGACCTAAGCCCCAAAGGCCAAAAAGTAAAACCCCCATCCCAAATCCGCCTGTAACTGTTTGACCAGAGGCCAGCTGTTTCAGGACGCAGTTAAGACGTCTACCTTGCATAACAGAACTGGCAAGAAAAACATCTCCAGGAAGCGGCCAGACACCTGGCACATAGGACCCCCCCACACTTTTTTAATTTTTTCTTCACCCTGACCCAGTTCTACACCCTATAAAACCCTGCTATAGCCTGTAAGTGGGGCTGCCTCCTCTGCTTTTGTCAAAGGTAGCCTGGCAGGACTGACAATAAATCAGCTTGCCTGAACTTGGGTCTATTGACCTCATTCCTTTCTCGACTGTCCTTCCAATTATCCCTTACAATAGTGATGTAAACAATTATAATATCCTCTGTTATCATAGAGTCATGCAAAAGTTATAGAAATGTAAAAAAAGCAGTGATGAACTTTCTGGGGAGAGCAGGGGAAGTTTCTTTGGTAGGCTGTATTACTGTTTACCAATGTCTGCTTGTTTGTCCTCCCTGGGAGAAGAGTCTACTTTCCCAGTCCATTCAAGTCAGGCTTGGCATGAGAATTGCTTTTGCCAGTGGAATATGAGAAGTGATGTGGATCACATCTACGCAAGAGTTGAAGGGCAGTTTGTGCTTTGCTGAATTGCTTTCCCCCTGTCACTGACCAGCCCCATCCCAGGAAGTTTGTGCTGGCTTATCCTGAGTCTCTAAGAAGATGACATGAAGCAGAGTGGCGGCCAGCCATGCTGGACTTATAGTATGAGCAAAATTCAAGCTGTTACAGGCCCCTGAGATTTGGGAACCTGTTCACATTGTATACCTTTGAGGGCTGATCAGTAATGTTAGGCTGAATCTTCCATACAAAGAAATGCAAGGCCTTAATTTAATAAACTATTAGAGGGGGGTTGGCCAGGATCACCAAAAGCATATCTTTCATGGGCAAGGAAACTCAAGATAGGTCCTGGGAAGAAGGGAACATTACCTTACACCTCTGGAACTTTTTGCAAGCTGCTATTATAACAGAAGATATTATAATTGTTTAGATGACTGTCACCCCAACTAGACCAGGGACTCTTTGTTCCAGAGAATACATTTTCTCCCTCAGCAAGTGAGACAATTTCTGTCTTGTTACCCTTTTAGGCTAGTTACAACTATGATAGAACTAAACTTATATATAATAAGACATATTATAAGCAAAGAGTGTCCCATTCTAAAAAAGATAAAGCAAACCCTCAGCTTTACGTAGACAGACCCAAAAAGCTATAAGTAATGGCAGCTTTAAAAAAATTTTTAAGGTTGTTTAGCTTTTCGCAGTGAGAGTAGAAAAGTCTCTTCCTTGTTCCAGACTGCTCCTTTGAATTTCTTAAAAAGAAAACACCAGCGTCTAATAGGAGGTGAATGAGATGGGTGTGAAAAGGTATCTTGGGAGCAAAGAAGTTAGCTGAGATATCAGGCTTTGGGGCTTTCGGGACATATTCTGCAACTCCATTTGGGTGACAACCTAAAGCATTTCATCAGGCATCTTATAGCTTTTTTTTTTCCTAAGAAAACCTCTCCTGTTTGTTTATAAAGCTGATTTTCTTTCTTCCAGGTAAAAAAAAATAATTCTAGGGCCAGGCGCGGTGGCTCACGCCTGTAATCCCAGCACTCTGGGGTCAGGAGATCGAGACCATCCTGGCTAACATGGTGAAACCCTGTCTCTACTAAAAATACAAAAAATTAGCCGGGCGTGGTGGTGGGCGCCTGTAGTCCCAGCTACTCAGGAGGCTGAGGCAGGAGAATGGCATGAACCCGGGAGGCAGAGCTTGCAGTGAGCCGAGATTGCACCACTGCACTGCAGCCTGGGCGACAGAGTGAGACTCTGTCTAAACAAAAAATTAAAAAATAAATAAATAAATAAATAAATAAATAAATAAATCTAAATATTGGCTCATTTAAAAATGATACAGCATTTTAAGTCTCTGGCCTTGGTAGGGCCTTAAGAGCTGCCTGGTATTCCTGCTCCATTTCCCTTTTTGCTCCCATACTCCAAGACTTTTATTTTAGATCTCGTTCTCCCTCTTCAAAACACGTATTTCTGGTACTCTTGAAGTTTAAATTCTGGGTGCAGTTGAAAATAAATAAGCAAGTAAATATACTTTTCAGATAGGTGATAAATATAATGACATAGAATACAGTAGAAAAAGAGATAGTGACAGAGGTGAGGAGGGGGCAGTATTTTTGATGGGCCAGTCTCGGAGGTTTCTTTGATAAGATGGCATTTGAATGAGAACAAGAGGATGTAAGGGAATGTGCCATGTGGACATTTGAAGGAAGATTATCCTGGGCAGAGGGAACTGCATGTGCAAAAAGGTCCCGAGGCAGAAGTGTGCTTGATATGATCAAGGAAGTGCAAGGAAGAAAGTACAGCTAGTGTGGAGAAAATAAATGGGAGAGTGGTAGGACATGAGCTCAGGGAGGTGGCAGGGAGAAGCCAGAACATGCAAAACCTTGCAGAACTTGCAGAACCTTCCTTACCTTTGCCATCCTCACTCTCGCTTAAGGACTACTGATTTCATTTAAAAATTGAAACAAGGCCGGGAGTGGTGGCTTACGCCTGTAATCCCAGCTCTTTGGGAGGCCAAGGCGGGCAGATCACGAGGTCAGGAGATCAAGACCAGCCTGGCCAACATGGTGAAACCCCATCTCTACTTAAAAAATATATATATATACAAAAATTAGCCGCCATGGTGACACATGCCTATACTTCAGAGGCTGAGGCATGAGAATCGCTGCAACCCGGGAGGTGGAGGCCGTAGTGAGCTGAGATTGCTCCACTGCACGCCAGCCTGGGCGAAAGAGTGAAAATATGTCTCCAAAAAAAGAAAAAAAAAGTCCTGGCACGGGGGCTCACGCCTGTAATCTCAGCACTTTGGGAGGCCGAGGCGGGCAGATCACAAGGTCAGGAGATCGAGACCATCCTGGCTAACAAGGTGAAACCCCGTCTCTACTAAAAAATACAAAAAAATTAGCTGGGCGTGGTGGCGGGTGCCCGTAGTCCCAGCTACTTGGGAGGCTGAGGCACGAGAATGGCGTGAACCCAGGAGGCAGAGCTTGCAGTGAGCCAAGATCGTGCCACTGCACTCCAGCCTGGGTGACAGAACGAGACTCTGTCTCAAAAAAACAAAACAAAACAAAAACAAAAACAAACAACAAAAAACCATTGAACTTGGCCAAGTCCTGTGGCTCACGCTTGTAATCCTAGCACTTTGGGAGGCAAAGGTGGGCAGATCACCTGAGGTCAGGAGTTCGAGACCAGCGTGGCCAACATGGTGAAACCCCATTTCTACTAAAAACACAAAAATTAGCCTGGCGTGGTAGTGCATGCCTGTAATCCCAGCTACTCAGGTGGCTGAGGCATGAGAATTGCTTGGACGCGGGAGGCAGAGGTTGCAGTAAGCCGTGTGCCACTGCACTCCAGCCTGGGCAATAGAGCAAGACTCCATTTCAAAGAAAAAATAAATGAATGAATCAAAGAGAACTTGTACCTCCCAGTCATACCTACCAACCTACCTACATGTGTGCCCTTACAGTTTGTCTTCTCTCTTCTTACCTGGATGACTGCCCACATTCCAGCCTCTCCAGGTGAAACCTAGATCATCCCCTCTGCCTGTCAAGGACATTGCTCCTGCAGTTGTCTATACTCCTGCATCATCAGTATTCTCACTCTACTGGCTAATTCTTCTTCTTTTATAAACACACTACAATCATCTATTGTAAATTGCGCTCCTTTGATCCCTTCCACCCCCTGCTTCCCTTAATGGAAAATTTCCCTTTGTCTGTCTTGTCTGTGCTTGCCATCTCCTTTCTCTTTATCTCATTCATTCATGAGCCCAACATAAGCTGACTTTTGCTCCCATACCTTCACAAAATCTTTCTTGTCAAAGTCACACTAACACCATATTGCCAAATCCCGTGTTTATTTCCCCGTTCTCATCTTTCTTAGCCTATCGTAGCATTTGACACAGTTGACTACTTCCTTCTTCTTGAGGCAACTTCTTCACTTGACCTCTCACTTTTCCTTAGCGACTCCTCAGTGTCTGTCTTAGTCTGTTTGGGCTTCTGTAACAAAATGCCATAATGCATGGCCAACATGGTGAAGCCCCATTTCTACTAAAAATACAAAAATTAGCCTGGTGTGGTAGCGCATGCCTGTAATCCCAGCTACTCGGGTGGCTGAGGCATGAGAATTGCCTTGTAGCTTAGAAGCAACAGAAGTTTATTTCTCACAGGAGGCTGGGATGTCCCAGATCAAGACATTGGCAGACTTGGTGTCCAGTTCCTCATAGACAGAGCCTTCTATCGTGAGGCAGCTTTCTGGAGCCTCTGTCTCTCTCTTTGAAACAGAGACTTTGTCTGCCAAGCTAGAGTGTGGTGGCGTGATCATAGCTCTCTGCAGCTTGGATCTTCTGAGCTCAAGTGATCCACCTACTTCAGCCTCCCAAGTAGCTGGGACTACAGGTGCATGCCACCACGCCTGGCTAATTATTTTATTTTTTGTAGAGACAAATGTCCCTATGTTGCCCAGGCTGGTCTCGAACTCCTGGCTTCAAGTGATCCTTCTACCTCAGCTTCCCAAAGTGCTGGGATTACAAACATGAGTCACCGTACCTGCCTCTGGAGCCTGTTTTTATAAGGGCACTAATCCCATTCATAAGAGGTCCACCCTTGTGATCTAATCACCTCCCAAAGGCCCACCTCCTAATTCCATCACATTGGGGATTAGGTTGTCAGCATACGAACTTGCAGGGACACAAACATTTCGTTCCACAGCAATCTCCTTCCCTGGAATTCCCCTTTCTTCCTTACCTTTCAGTGTTGACATCTGAAATGCTAAGGACTCAGTTCCTTCTCATTGTCATTAACACTCATGCTGAAGGGGATCTCATCCAGTTCGAAGCATTTAAATACTGTCCTATCTTTAGGGCTCATACACAATAGGCTAGATTTTTCTACACACCACCCTCAAATCTCAGTCATTTAGAACAACAAAGATGTTTCTCTTTCACTGTAAAATGTCCGTCATGAATCAACAGGGGTATCTGTTCATCATGGTCGCTCAGGGACATGGTGAATCATACTCTTTTTTTTTTTTTTTTTTGAGATAGAGTATGGTTCTGTTGCCCAGGCTGGAGTGCGTGGTGCAGTCTTAGCAACCTTGGCCTCCTTGGTTCAAGCAATTTTCTGCCTCAGCCTCCTGAGTAGCTGGGATTACAGGCGCCCGCTCCCACAACTGGCTAATTTTTTGCATTTTTAGTAGAGAAAGGGTTTCACCATCTTGGCCAGGCTGGTGTTAAACTCTTGACTTTGTGATCCACCCACCTCGGCCTCCCAAAGTGCTGGGATTACAGGCGTGAGCCACTGTGCCTGGCCGAGAATCATACTCCTTTTTTTTTTTTGAGACGGAGTTTCACTCTTGTTGCCCAGGCTGGAGTACAATGGCATGATCTCAGCTCACCACAACCTCCACCTCCAGGGTTCAAGCGATTCTCCTGCCTCAGTCTCCCAAGTAGTTGGGATTACAGGCGCCCACCACCACACCTGGCTAATTTTGTATTTTTAGTAGAGATGGTGTTTCTCCATGTTGGTCAGGCTGGTCTCGAACTCCCGACCTCAGGTGATCCACCCCCCGCTTGGCCTCCCAAAGTGCTGGGATTACAGGCATAAGCCACCGTGACCAGCCCATACTCTTAAAGCTTAAGGATTCTGCCTGAAGTGAGACAGCCCCTTCCACCTTCATTTCATTGGCTATGGCAAGTCACATGGCTGTGCCTAACTTTAAGGGGGTAGACAAGAGGGTCCTACCATAATGGAAGGAGTGAACTAAAAATATTGGTGGGCCAGGTGCGGTGGCTTATGCCTGTAATTGCAGCACTTTGGGAGGCTGAGGTGGGTGGATCACCTGAGGTCAGGAGTTCGAGACCACTTTGACCAACATGGCGAAACCCTGTCTCTACTAAAAATACAAAAATTAGCTGGGCATGGTGGCACACACCTGTAATCCCAGCTACACGAGAGGCTGAGGCAGGAGAATCGCTTGAACCTGGAGGCGGAGGTTGCAGTGAGCTGACATCTTGCGACTGCACTCTAGCCTGGACAATAAGAGCAAGATTCCAACTTAAAAAAAAAAAATTGGTGAATAGCTTTAATGATTACAACAGTTCTCACAGTTTTGTCTCAGACCCTGACATCTCTGCTAAACTCTACACCGGTGGATGAAACTGCCTGCTTGGCATCTTCTCTTAGATACTTAATAAGCAATGTGGCCAGGTGCAGTGGCTCACGCCTATAATCCCAGCACTTTGGGAAGCCGAGGTGGGTGGATCACCTGAGGTCGGGAGTTTGAGACCAGCCTGACCAGTATGGAGAAACGCCGTCTCTACTAAAAATACAAAATTAGCCGGGCATGGTGGCACATGCCTGTAATCCCAGCTACTTGGGAGGCTGAGGCAGGAGAATTGCCTGAACCTGGGGAGCAGAGGTTGCAGTGGGCCGGGATCGCGCCATTGCACTCCCACCTGGGCGACAAGAGTGAAACTTCATCTCAAAAACAACAACAAAAACCTACTCTTTATTGAATGCTTATTACTTGCTTTGCTCTATGCTTTACATTATCATACTTTATGAGACATTTCCCCCATGACAGAGAAGGAATGGAGACTCAGAGAGGGTGTGTAACTCTCCTGAGATCACACAGCTGGCAAGTGGTAGAGCCTAGACCCAGTCCCAGGTCAGTCTGCCTCCAAGTTCATGCTTCTAGCCATCATACACTAGCGAATTTGTCCTGCCATGATTTTGGCAAAATACCGAGTGAGCAATCTATTAATGCACTCTTAAATTACAACCTAAAAGTAAGGAAGGATTAATAATTAACTGTTGCCATAAAGAAGAACTGGGCGGACCTAGAAGATTGTGAGCTTTAAATGGAATGGAAAATATATTTGGGAATTCGGAGGATTTTCAGTCTTCCATATTGGATCTAAAACCACCCAGATAAACATTTCTATACTTAAACAGTGACCTGATAACAAGCCCAGTGTGCGAAAATAACTCAGTGCTCTTGATCAGTCTTAAAGACAAACAAACAAGCAAACCTCAGGTCAAAGTGTGTTTTTGACCAGACTTTGACCTTACTGAACTAGGCTGGCTGAAAGGGCATTAGTATGTTGAATGTATCTTCTAAAATTGCTTCTGATCTCAGCTATTGGGTGATGTAACCGGAAAGTTCAGGGAGTGCTGCGTCATGCTGAGCATATTCTGTTTCCCTGGAACGAGGGCCTCATTGGCTCTGTCTTCTCCAAACAGCAACATGTCTTATTAATAGGGTTCTTTCTCCACAGGGCCATAGATTATTGATGGAGCTCACTGTTAGGCAAGGCCTCCTGTCACCCTAGACAACACAGCTCTTCAGCCTCACTTCAGCGGGCACAGATGTCTCCGTATAGCAGCCCACGTGCGTGCTCGCCCAAGGCAATGTGAGGGTGGCTGTCGTTCAAGCTGCTGCTCAAAGGCAGAGTGCCTTTTCTCAGGCTGAGTGAATAGCAGAGGTATCAGGTGAGCTTGAAAAGGGAGGGGAGGGACACTGGCAATTATTGTCATTGTTCTAGATAGACATCATTGCTGGATGTCCCTCAGGTTGGCCGGGAAGCTCTCGCTGGACCCCAAATCCTGATTGTAACCTGGCTGCATTAAAATACCTTCTCTTCAAGCTCTTTCTCATGTCTTTCTTCATTTAGGCATTTTATTACATGCAAAAATGCACTGAAATGCACAAAGCACCAGGTCTATTGTAAGATAAAGTAGGTTACCAAAGAAATGCTTGTTTAATTATTTTTCCTGTCTTCTTTTCATATATACTTTAAAAGCTCCTCTGATAGGAGTGTAGTAGGAGGGACTTGAACTAAAATTGTAGTGTTATTATAACTGAAGGAAGGGACTCCTGAGGTTACCTAGCCCAAACTCTTGGAAGAAACTTAAGACGAAGAAATAGACTTGCCCCAGCACATAATGATGAATACTGGTGGAGCATGAATTGAACTTGGAGCCTCTAGCTTCCCAGTCCCATGCTCTTCTCATCATACAGCCTGCTGGCTTCCTCTGAGCCTGGGCTCCTACCTTGTATTGTTAGGATTTCCTCTGTGCTCCTTAGATCTGGCTATTTTTCCTCTGGTGTATATCACAACTCTAGGAATTTGGACTCCCATCCTAGTATCTGGCAAGTTGATTATTAGGTTTAGAAAAAGCATCAGTCTCCTAAAAAGTTGGGTGATGAGTCACATATCATAACTATTTAACATATCCTACTCACATTTGCATTTCTGTTTTATTATTAAAGCTAATCTGTAGGCCAAGCGCAGTGGCTCACGCCTGTAATCCCAGCACTTTGGGAGGCCGAGGCGGGTGGATCACCTGAGGTCAGGAGTTCAAGACCAGCCTGGCCAAGATAGTGAAACCCCGTCTCTACTAAAAACACAAAAATTATCTGGGCATGGTGGCGGGCACCTGTAATCCCAGCTACTCGGGAGGCTGAGGCAGGAGAATCACTTGAATTTGGGAGGCAAAGATTGCCTTGAGCCAACATCACACCACTGCACTCCAGCCTGGGCAACAGAGCAAGACTCCATCTCAAAAAAAAAAACCAAAATAAAAAAAACAAATCTGTAATACGTCTGATACTAAGAAGTAACCTCTTGCGCAGATACATCCAGGGGCTCTGTCACTCATAACTTAACACACCAATTCCTATTATTCACAAATAAGCAACAGCCAAAGAAAGAGGAAGATAATTTATATTTTATAAATTAGACATTGGGATGAAAAAAAGCATTAAAGATAAATGAATTTATATTGGGGGGGAAAACTGTTAATGATGATCTTAAAACTTTGTTTTAAGATGACATCAAATACCTCTTATTCTTTTTACCAGAAGGTGGGGTCAAAGTCGCTGCCATTGAGTTTGGGTTGGGACTCACTTGGAATTGACAGAATGTGATGGAAGTGATGCTATGTAACTTCTCAGGCCAGGCCCGGAGAGGATGTGCAGCCTCCACCTTGTTGATGGGAAACATTTGCTTTCAGAGTTCTGGACTGTTCTGTGAAAAGTCGTCTAACAGCCCTGGGGCAACCATGCTGAGACACTATTGTGGAAGTGATCTTCCAGCCCCAGCAGTTCAGGCCGCCATTCTAATCATCCCACTGATTGCAGAGTAGACTCTAAAGAGCAGAGAAGATCTGTCCCCACTATGCCCTTTCTGAATTTCTGATCCACAGGCAGCAAGCACAAGAAAACTGCTGTTTCTGGCCAGGCGCCGTGGCTCATGCCTGTAATCCCAGCACTTTTGGGAGGCTGAGGTGGGTGGATCACCTGAGTTCAGGAGTTTGAGACCAGCCTGGCCAATATGGTCTCAACTAAAAATACAAAAAATTAGCTGGGTCTGGTGGCACAGTCCTATATTCCCAGCTACTGGGGAGGCTGAGGCACGAGAATCACTTGAACCTGGGAGGTGGAGGTTGTAGTGAGCTGAGATCACACCACTACACTCCAGCCTGGGCATCAGAGCGAGACTCCATCGAAAGAAGAGAAGAACAGAGAGAAGAGAAGAACAGAGAGAAGAGAAGAGAACTGGGTGCGGTGGCTCATGCTTGTAATCCCAGCACTTTGGGAGGCAAAGGTGGGCAGATCACCTGAGGTCAGGAGTTCGAGACCAGCCTGGCCAACATGGTGAAACCCCCGTCTCTACTAAAAACACAAAAATTAGCCGGGTGTAGTGGTGCACACCTGTAATCCTAGCTACTTGGGAGGCTGAGGCAGGAGAATCGTTTGAATTCGGGAGGCGGAGGCTTCAGTGAGCCAAGATTGCGCCATTGCACTCCAGCCTGGGCAGCAAGAGCGAAGCTCCGTCTCAAAAAAAAAAAAAAAAAAAAGGAAAAGAATTGCTGTTTCTATTTTTATTTATTTATTTTTAATTTTTTTTCGAAATGGAGTCTCACTCTGTCGCCCAGGCTGGAGTGCAGTGGAGCAATCTCAGCTCACTGCAGCCTCAGCCTCCTGGGTTCAAGTGATTCTCCTGCCTTAGCCTCCTGAGTAGTTGGAATTACAGGCATGTGCCACCACGCCCCACTACTTTTTGTATTTTCAGTAGAGACGGGATTTTGCCACGTTGGCCAGGCTGGTCTCAAACTCCTGACCTCAAGTCATCCACCTGCCTCGGCCTCCCAAAGTGCTGGGATTACAGGCGTGAACCACCATGCCCAGCCTGTTTTTATTTTTACACTACCAAGTTTGGGGGTGGTTTATGATACCTCAGTAAGTAACTGGAACAGTTACATAGTTCAATGCTTCTCTTTGCTTAAATTTATGATTCTTTATACCATGTTGCATGCTATTTTTATTTTGCCGCCTTTAGCGAATATCTTGCCTCACTCTCTGATGCACTTGCATGTTCCTGTAGCCTTTCTACAGTTTTTATGCTTGCATCCATATCAGTGTTAACTAACATCTCTTCTATGTCTGAAAAAAGAAGAATCTATAAACATATACTGGGTGCATCTCACTCGACCTGAGTTCATGAAAATGATTAAAATTTTACCATTACCATTGCAAATAATTCCTCTGGGATGATTATAAGAAAGATAAGTGATCTATAAAATAGTGAAAATGTTAATTTTAAGAAACCAGCTTCAGCTGGGTGCAGTGGCTCACGGCTGTAATCCCAGTACTTTGGGAGGCTGAGGCGGGCGGATCACGAGGTCAGGAGATCGAGACCATCCTGCCTAACAAAGTGAAACCCCGTCTCTACTAAAAATACAAAAAAAAAAAAAAAAAATTAGCCGGGCGTGGTGGCGGGTGTCTGTAGTCCCAGCTACTTGGGAGGCTGAGGCAGAAGAATGCCATGAACCCACGAGGCGGAGCTTGCAGTGAGCTGAGATTGTGCCACTGCACTCCAGCCTGGGGGACAGAACAAGACTCTGTCTCAAAAAAAAAAAAAAAAAAAAAAAAACCAAAAACCAGCTTCCACCATTTTAGTTACTCCTACTTTATTCTAATAGAGATTTGAAAAAGTCAGTTATTCAAAGACCTAGTAAAAATTAAGAACATCAAGGACGTGTTAGGAGTCGCAGACTGGCTATTCCACAGAAGCAAAATCCCAGCAATGTGTACTGAGCTTTTTATACAGAGGAAATGCCCAGCAGTGCCCAGTAAAGGTTAGATTTTAGTATTGATATCTTTGTATTAGAACAGGAAGGGAGAACACTATTACAACAAAAAGACAAAGCATGATTCTAGAAACGAAAAATTATAGCAATTTTCATTTTAAAATTTTAACCTGTAGACTGTACTCCCTGTATCATTTGTCTGCCCCAGGGCTATGAAGGTCTGAGCCAACTCAGATTACAAACTTCTGGAATCGGAGGATCTCAAATATGACACCAGTTTATCTTTTTTTGTTTTTTTGAGACGGAGTTTCACTCCTGTTGCCCAGGCTGGAGTGCAATGGCGCGATCTCGGCTCACTGCAACCTCTGCCTCCCGGATTCAAGCGATTCTCCTGCCTCAGCCTTGAGAGTAGCTGGGATTACAGGCATGCGCCACCACGCCCAGCTAATTTTCTATTTTTAGTAGAGACGGGGTTTCTCCATGTTGGTCAGGCTGGTCTCGAACTCCCGACCTCAGGTGATCCGCCCGCCTCAGCCTCCCAAAGTGTTGGGATTACAGGCATGAGCCACCATGCCCGGCCCAACACCAGTTTATCTTTTATAGTTACAGAACCTCTAGCCTTCTAATACAAGCTATTTCTATCAGGATCTGAACTGTTATCTAATTAGCAATACTAAGATTTGAATTTTCCCATTTCAGCTTGGAGATGCATATGCTGTGTATCAGTTCAGCTGCTCCTTTAGGTAGACTATAATCAATGCAGATTTCTTCAGAATAAGTTCAGATATGTTGATTGATTTTGCTTGAGAAGATGCTCCCAATGAGTAAATACAGCTTAGATAGACCTTAGCTGCTGATTTTCCCTTTACCCCAAGAACCTGGACTTCATTGAATATATAAAAAGTTTCTGCCAGGCGCAGTGGCTCACACCTGTAATCCCAACACTTTGGGAGGCCAAGGCGGATGGATTACGTGAGGTCAGGAGTTCAGGACCAGCCTGGCCAACATGATGAAACCCCATCTCTACTAAAAAATACAAAAATTAGCCAGGCATGGTGGCGGGCGCCTGTAGTCCCAGCTACTTGGGAGGCTGAGACAGGATAATTGCTTGAACCCGGAGGGCAGAGGTTGTAGTGAGCGGAGATGGCGCCGTTGCAGTTTAGCCTGGGCAACAAGAGTGAAACTCTATCTCAAAAAAAAAAAAAAAAAGTTTGAACTTACTTTGTAGCATGGTGGCTATGTATTTCTGTACAATTAAGAGATTTACCTTCAACATTGGTTGATATCACTCTTTGGGAGAATAATTTGTCTTAATGGTGTACTGGCAACACAAAGATATTTCAACAAATTTGTTCAAATTTCCTGGGTTAATATGGAAAGTGCAAGATTGGTCACCCCCAAAGGGAGCAAGTATATTACCCAAGACACTTGTATTTTTTTGAGCATTTTCTTGAATGGGAATGAAGGAGTGACAATTGCCGAGCCAAAAACTCTTAGCAGTGCCTGGCAGTGTGCCATTCCAAATCCCCCCTCTCTGCTGTGCAGAGATCCTCAAGACTTATTGCATAGTTATAAAAATCCTCAAATACTGATATACTATATCTCTTAATCACTCAGAACTCATCACATTAAGAAAATCTAGGCCGGGGGCAGTGGCGCACGCCTGTAATCTTAGCACTTTGGGAGGCTGAGGCAGGCGGATCACAAGGTCAGGAGATCGAGACCATCCTGGCTAACACGGTGAAACCCCGTCTCTACTAAAAATACAAAAAATTAGCCAGGCATGGTGGCGGGCACCTGTAGTGGTCCCAGCTACTCGGGAGGCTGAGGCAGGAGAATGGCGTGAACCTGGGAGGCGGAGCTTGCAGTGAGCCGAGATCGCACCACTGCACTCCAGCCTGAGCGACAGAGCGAGACTCTGTCTCAAAAAAAAAAAAAAAAGAAAAAAAAAGAAAATCTGGTAACTCCACAGAACCACCAAAATTCTCTTGTAAGAATTATCCTGTGCACTGACAATCACATTGAGTACAGAAGCTTGGAATCAACCAGCGGTATTGGCAGTAGCCAAGTGAAGCCAAATAGTTTCCAATAAAATGAATTTTTTCTGCAGCTTCTAGCATTTACGTATCTGTGCACAGTGGGGATGCTGGTTAGCATTGTATCCAACTGAGAGCGTTACAGAAACTCAGTAAGGCTGCAGCCACAGAGAATCTGCATTTCTAAGGAGAAAAATCTCTTATTTTGGACAATTAAGTGCCCTGTGGTTCTTGCTTGCATTTCTGTGCACAAGCCTCCGGGATGTCTCATCCTTTCAGAAATGCACGAGGTTGATTCATGCACAGGTTGTAAGAAAGCTGGGATGAAATTTTTTTCTTGATAGAACTTCAGGGCTAATTTTGAAAATGCATTGTTATAATGGTTATGTTTCTTCCCCACATCATCTTGCTGAAATGTCTCATTCTGAGAGAACTGAGAGACCACCACTGTGCCAAAAGTGGCAGCTGGGAAAGATTTTTTTTTTTAAAATACAGATAAAGGAAGCAAGGGCTGAGAGGTAAGAAAGACAGCTGGGAGATTTAAGGGACGTGGCCTCTAAGCAGCTGAAAGAGACAATGGTCTAGAGAGGGACTGTGGGCGAGATAAGAGGCTTTGTGCAAGCTGAAGAACTATGCCAAACATGATAAGAAATGCAGCTGTTATGAAAGTGTGAATGATCAAGATTCTCGGTATGCCCCGGACATAGACATTCAACATGTGCACTTAAAGGACGAGTCCTGGTAAAATGACTCCTTTTACCAGGCAGTTTTACTCCTCAAACTCTCTTAGGAGTTACGATACTGTGCCAGGCTCTCACTTGGCCATTCCTAAACTGCGATGGGTCCTGCTTCTGCCATTATGACTTCAAATCTCCATTTCTCCTTCATCTTCTCTCGGTTTAAAAACAATTTCTGGCCAGGTGCAGTGGCTCATGCCTGCAATCCCAGCACTTTTGGGAGGCCAAGGCGGGTGGATCACGAGGTCAGAAGATCAAGACCATCCTGGACAACATGGTGAAACCCCATCTCTAGTAAAATAAAAAAAATTAGCTGGGTGTGGTGGTGCACGCCTGTAGTTCCAGCTACTAGGGAGTCTGAGGCAGGGGAATTGCTTGAACCCAGGAGGTGGAGGTTGCAGTGAGCCGAGATCGCGCCACTGCACTCCAGCCTGGTGACAGAGCAAGACTCCATCTCAAAAAAAAAAATTATTAAAAATTTGTTTTTAACTTAATTTAATTTTAAGACAAGGTCTTGCTCTGTTGCCCAGGCTGGAGTGCAGTGGCACAATCACAGTTCACTGCAGCCTTGACTTCCCAAGCTCAAGCGATCCTCTCGCCTCAGCCTCCTGAGTAGCTGGGACTACAGGTGGGTGTCACCTTGGCTGGCTAATTTTTAAAATGTTTTGTAGACAAGGCCTCCCATGTTGCCCAGACTGGTCTTTAACTCCTGGGCTCAAGCAATCCTCCCACCTTGGCCTCCTAAAGTGCTGGGATTATAAGGGTGAGCCACCATGCCCAGACTAAATTTTTTGTATTGCTATATAATAATTATACCTACCTATGGGGTACATGTGATATTTTGATACTTGCACACAATGTGTAATGATCAAATCAGGGTATTTTTCTATGGTGGCTTCTCAGCATATTCATCACCTGGAACATTCATCATTTCTTTGTATTGGGAACATTTCAAATCTTCTTTTTTTTTAGACGGAGTCTCGCTCTGTTTCCCAGGCTGGAGTGCAGTGGCGCGATGTTGGCTCACTGCAAGCTCCCCCTCCCGGGTTCACGCCATTCTCCTGCCTCAGCCTCCCGAGTAGCTGGGACTACAGGCGCCCGCCACCATGCCTGGCTAATTTTTTGTATTTTTAGTAGAGACAGGGTTTCACCGTGTTAGCCAGGACGGTCTCCATCTCCTGACCTCGTGATCCGCCTGCCTCAGCCTCCCAAAGTGCTGGGATTACAGGCGTGAGCCACCGCGCCTGGCCTCAAATCTTCTTTTCTAGCTATTTTGAAATATACAATAAATTGTGGTTAATGATAGTCACCCTACTGTGCTATCGAACGCTGGGACTTATTCCTTCTATCTAACTATATGTTTGTACCCATTAATCAACTTCTTTTCATCCCCCTACACTCTTCCCAGCCTCCGATAACTATCATTTTATGCTCCACCTCCATGAAATCAACTTTTTAAGTTCCCATATATGAATGAGAACAGGCGATATTTGTCTTTCTTTGCTTGGCTTATTTCAGTTAACATAGTGATCTCCAGTTCCATCCATGTTGCTGCAAATGACAGGCTTTCATTTTTGTTATGGCTGAGTAGCATTCCTTTCCTTCCCTTTTCCCTTCGCCTTCCCTTTTCCCTTCTCCTTCCCTTCTCCTTCCCTTTTCCCTTCCCTTTCCCTTTTTCCTTTTCCCTTCTGTTTCTCTTTCCCTTTATTTTCTCCTTACCTTCTCCTTTCTCCCCTGCCCTCCCCTCCCCCCTCCCCCCCCTTCCTCTGTCTTTTCCTCTTCTTTCTTCTCCTTTTATTTCCCTTTTTGAGACAGGATCTGGCTCTGTTGCCCAGGCTGGAGTTCAGTGGCATGATCTTGGCTCACTGCAACCTCTGCCTCTAGGGCTCAAGTGATCCTCTCACCTTAGCCTCCCAAGTAGCTGGGACTCCAGGCACATGCCACCACTCCCAGCTAATTTTTTTTTTTTTTTTTTTTGAGACGAAGTCTCACTCTGTTGCGAGGCTGAAGTGCAGTGGTGCGATCTCAGCTCACTGCAACCTCTGCCTCCCAGGTTCAAGCAATTCTCCTGCCTCAGCCTCCCAAGTAGCTGGGACTACCGGCATGTACCACCACGCCCAGCTAATTTTTAGGATGGTCTCCAGCTCTTGACCTCATGATCAGCCGCCTCGGCCTCCCAAATCAGCTCACGCTGATTTCAGGCATGAGCCTCCGTGCCCGGCCTGAATAGCATTTCATTGTGTGTATGTACATTTTCTTTTCCTCTGAGTTTTAAAGGAGTCAAGCAAGCAATTAGTGGTAGATGACTTGAACCATACACCTTTAGTAACTATATTGTCTATTTAAATCCAAAGTTGTTATTATTAAAAGAGGCAATGTTTATTAAAAGGTTATGATTACTTGATATTCTTTGACATAAACTGAGATATACTCTTATTCAATTTTATAGGAGTTTGTCATAGTAAATCACAGCATTAGTATGTTTTCCCCACAAAGGCACAAGTGGACTGAGGCCGAGATGACTACTCATAATAATCCTTAGTATTATCACTGAACAAATGTTGCCAATAGAAATGAGAGAAAATGAGCATAGAGATGTTTATGTTCTATGATCCTTATTAACGGTTTTGATCATGTCTACGACTCGCCTCAGAGTCCTTAGATTTGGTCTTGACCCCAGAATTGAAGTCATGTTTATTTAGCTTTCCTTAGAATTTCTAAGACAATTCCTAGTGACGTAGAAAAAGATGCTAAAATAATCCAGGGGCAGTTACTCTTTGCCATCGGACAGATCCCCATTTCAACTCACAGTTCTACCATCTTGAGTTGTGACTTTGGGCAAATTACATTCACTCTGTAAAATGAAGATGACAATTCCAGGCCTGCTGTGAGGTTGTGAGGACGTAAGCCAGTGCATTCAGCGTCTGGCACAAATGGATGCTCGGTAAATGGTAGCCAAAAGTCAGGATATTTAAAGTAAAGGAGTAACAACAGTTAAAAAAAAAAAAATGAAAAAGAAAAGGGTGTTCAACTGATGTTATTACAACCAATATTCCTTCTCAGATATTGATCTATAACACAGAATGACTCTTTAAAAATGAAAGCAAGGCTGGATGTGGTGGCTCACACCTGTAATCCCAGGATTTTGGGAGGCCAAGGCAGGAAGATAGCTTGAGCCCAGGAGTTTGAGATCAGCCTGGGCAATATAGTGAGAACCTGTCTCTAAAAAAAAAAAAAAAAAAAACAAATTTGAGAAACAAAAAGGAAGCAATAGCTGCAGAGAGAGCCCCAAGCCAAACGATCTGTGAGGCAGGGTTTTATACCGACAACTACCCTGAGTCCTCCTGGAATTTCAGATACTTCCTTTAACTTCACCTTTGCCCAGTTGCACTCTTCCAATGTATTATCTTTCCATGGGGGCATTGGTTTATGCCAAGCACATTGCAAAACGTGGTAGACGACAAAGCATATAGAGTGCTTTGAAAATACTATTGATGAGGCCGGGCGTGGTGGCTCATGCCTGTAATCCCAGCACTTTGGGAGGCCGAGGCAAGCGGATCACGAGGTCAGGAGATCGAGACCATCCTGGCTAACACGGTGAAACCCCGTCTCTACTAAAAAACACAAAAAAATTAGCCGGGCATGGTGGTGGGAGCCTGTAATCCCAGCTACTCGGAAGGCTGAGGCAGGAGAATGGCGTGAACCTGGGAGGCGGAGCTTGCAGTGAGCTGAGATCGCGCCACTGCACTCCAGCCTGGCGACAGAGCGAGACTCTGTCTCAAAAAACAAAACAACAAAAAAGAAAATAGTATTGATGAAGTAGACACGGTGTGGAAAATTTGCATTGGAAGAATTTTTTTTTTTATATGATCTTCCAGTGATAAGCGGGCACAAAAGTAGTTAGAAGTTAGGCTGAAGGTCAGAAGGATAGATTCAGCTGTGGTTGAGAATAAATCAAATGTGTTCAGGGCAATCCTGAAGGCTGCTTCAGCTCCCCTGGAATCTTCTGTCTCCATCCTCCCCCAAAATTCAAATCTACAGGTAGGCATTTTCTCTCCACTAAGTCAGTGTTGCCTGCTCATGTGTAACAGGAGGCTCAAGACAGAGAACCAATGGCTCTACTTAAGGAAGAGCAATGGAAACTCATAGAATTCACTAGAAAAAGGAGTGGTCAAAAGCAGTGCAGTGAGGTGGTGTGCATTTGGGATTTGGTTTCAGGCCACATGGTATGGTTTGGATGCTTGTCCCCTCCAAATCTCATGTTGAAATATGACCTCCACTGTTGGATGTGGGCCTAGTGGGAGGTGATTAGGTCATAGGGGCTGGTCCCTCATGAATGGTGGTGCTGTCTTCATGGTAATGAGTGAGTTCTCACTCTATGAGCTCAGGTGAGATCAGGTTGTTTATAAGGGCCTGGCACCTCCCCACACTCCTCTCACTCCCACTCTTGCCATGGGATGCACTGGCTCCCCCTCCATTGTCCGCCACAGTTGGAAGCTTCCTGATGCCCTCACTGGAAGCAGATATCTGCACTGTGCTTCGTGTACAGCTTGCAGAACCACGAGACAAATAAACCTCTTTTCTTGTCTGTTTTTTTTTTTTTTTTGAGACGAAGTCTCACTTTGTCGCCCAGGCTGGAGTGCAGTGGCACGATCTCAGCTCACTGCAAGCTCTGCCTCCCAGGTTCAAGCGATTCTCCTCCCTCAGCCTCCTGACTAGCTGGGACTACAGGCACCTGCCACCACGCCCGGCTTATTTTGTTTTTGTATTTTTAGTAAAGACGGGGTTTCACCGTGTTAGCCAGGATGTTCTCGATCTCCTGATCTTGTGATCCGCCTGCCTCGGCCTTCCAAAGTGCTGGGATTACAGGCATGAGCCACCGTGCCCGGCCGTAAACCTCTTTTCTTTATAAATTACTGAGTCTCAGGTATCCCTTTATAACCACACAAAAGGACTGACAGCATACCATCTTGAAATCCGGGTTCTGCACCATACTGACACCGTGACTGTGGGCAGGCTTTTTTCTTTGAAAAATGGGGGATACTGTTACCTACCAATCACTGTTGTGAGGATTAAATACAAGTACCTGGCACATGGTAGGTGGTTAGAGGCGCAGGACTCTTTTCTCACATCCCATTGCACTTTCCATTTCTCCCAAAGCCCACTGACAGGAGTAGGCCAGTGTCAAGTCAGAGGCAGCACTGCAGGGCAAATACAGATGTGAAGAGCTTGAGTTTCCCAGCCACAAATGGCTTCATGCATTGATCCAAAGTATACTGGAGAGCACGGTACACACATTTTCTTTAATCTTTCCCCTCTCTTTCCACTCACTTGCCTGCTTGAAATAGGAAGTGACAATAGATAAAAGAATGCCAATGTTCCCTGTCCCTGGAGGCCCAATGTCCATTACTGAGCTCTAGCTAAACCTACTAGAGGTGCCATAATGGTTTCTAAAAGTTTTCAGTTACAAAGAATACATTCCATTAAAAAAAAGCCTAAACCTTTATAAGCATGGTTCAAGAACTCAGCTGGTAACTAAAAATAGAACTACCATATGATCCAGCAATCCCACTTCTGGATATATAGCCAAAAGAATTGAAATGTCGAAAAGGTATCTTGTGACTTCATGTTCATTGCATTATTCACAATAGCCAGGACATGGAAACAAACTAAGTGCCCATCAGTGGACGAGTGGATTAAAAAAATAGTGTGTGTATCCACACACACACACACACACACAAGAATACTATTCAGCCTTTAAAAAGGGGAAATTATGTCTTTTGCAGCAACATGGATGAATATAGAGGATATTATGCTCAGTAAAATAAGTCAGGTACAGAAAGATATCACGTGATCTTACCTATATTTGGATCTTTCCCCTCTCTTTCCACTCACTGTCCACTCACTTGGAAAGTGCAATGGGATGTGAGAAAAGAGTCCTGCACCTCTAACTACTTATAGAAGTAGAAAGTAGAATAGTGGTTACCAGATGCTGGGGGGTAGGGTGGGAGGGGATTGGATGGAAAAATAGAAAATGCTGGTCAAAGAGTACAAAGTTGCAGTTGAATAGGAGGAATACGTTCTGGTGATCTACTGCATAGCAACATGGCTACGATTAATAGTAATGTGTTGTATATTTCTAAATTGCTAAGGGTGGATGTTTAATGTTCTCACCTGGCCAGGCATGGTGGCGAACGCCACCTGTAATCCTAGCACTTTGGGAGGCCAAGACAGGTGGATTACTTGAGCCCAGGAGTTCAAGACCAGCCTGGGCAGCATGGTGAAATCCTGTCTTTACAAAACACACACACACAAAAAAATTATCCGGGCATGGTGGTGTGTGCCTGTAGTCCCAGCTAGTCTGAAGGCTAAGGTGAGATCGCTTGAGCCCAGGAAGCTGAGGCTGCAGTGAGCCATAATGGTGCCATGGCAGTCCAGCCTGGGTGACAGAGCAAGGCCCTGTCTCAAAAAGAAAATAAAAACAAAAATAAATGAAACATTCTCACCACAAAGAAATGATAAGTATGTGAGGTGAGGGCTATGTTCATTAGCCTGATTTGATCATACCACAATGTATACATGTACAGAAACATCACATTGTACCCCATAAATATATGCAATTATTATTTGTCAATTAAAAATAAAATTAAAAAAACTCAGTTGTTACCTTCCTATTTTATTAGAAAACAGAAGGAAACAATGTATCTGTTTACTGTCCTTTGAGTGATCCTCCACTCCCTATCATCAGATGAAGTCTCCTGTCACTCAACAAATGACCACCCCTTTCTACCCTCCATGATCCCCTAAGTGGCAAGCCCTGGTCTCACATGATCCAGCTCACGTGACTCCCACTCCTTCTTCTCACCTTCTGTTGCCTATTTTTAGGAGATGCTTTTGATTTTTGCTCTCCCTTTATAAATGATTTTCCTCTACATACTTTTCACACTCCCTTTTCCTCAAATTTCAACATGAACACAAGTGAATGCAGAATGAAAAATGCCTGTCCTAAGACTCTCCACACAGCACCCACCGTATCTCTTTTGCCTCACCTTGAGGCATCTGCAGGACAGGCGGCAGAGCCAGGAGTATATAAAAAGTAAATAAGTTCATACCTGGTTGGGACTGTCAGATAACCATCATTTAAAAATAGAGCTAAAAGGTAATTTTCTACTTGGCAAAACTACGTTTTTGCATTTAGAACTCATTTTGGAAGTCAGTTTGATATTTGCCCTTTTATGAACACATTATCTGAGGTATTAAATGAAAAGAAGTAACGATTTGTACTCAATCCATGTTATAATGTAATTGGAATTACCTCTAATAGTGGCGGAATGGAAAACAATGTGTACCCTCCAACTCACTTAAAATATATTAATAGCTTAGTGGTAGCCTCTTGTATATAAAAAAGGAATGGTATTTGTCTTCCAGGGGACAAATGACAGAAGACACAGGGACCTTATAGACTTTCTTTCTGAACAAGTTGGTCAAGAAGGACCAAATATTGTGCAATAAGATAGAATTATTTTATATCAAAGCTATAAATCTGTATCATTTTTCTTATCTACAAATTCTAAAAGGCTCATATAGGCATTGTCTCATTTCTTAGTTTGATTTATAATTGGGACTTCAAAGCTTGAAATGTAAATGATTTAGCTAAAATCATGATTGAACTTCTAAAATTCAACTCAGAACAAATACTCAAAATGAAACCTCTTCTGTACCAAGTGCTTAAGCAAAACAAAGTTAGAATTTCCATGGAAACAGCCTGGAACTCTGGAAGTAGAAGAGAGGACAAAAGTAAGCATGAAAACGCATTTATTTATTTTTTGGTTCCTCTTCACCTCTGCCCCTCCAAACCTCAAGCTGTCATCTTAATGAATGCTTTCAAGCCTCAGAGGGAATTAAGAAGAACAATATTTGACAGGAGTGAGGAAAGAACTAAATATAGTTCCCTTGTGAGAGAAATGTATTCCATAATCTCATCTACTTCTCTTTCCCTTATCTGGGTAATCTCTCCATCTTTCAACGTTATTTTTGTGCTGCTTTTATTGTACAGCCAGTTTAGCTGTTCCTTGGTTGGGATAGAATAAAGATAACATGAGATACGATTTTGTCCTCTTTTGGAAGGGTCATTTAATGAGACAATTGAGATCAGTTACCAAATTAATATTGTACATATTTCCTCGGTATGATAATTTCCTTGCTCAATGCTTTAGAACTTCTAAAATGCTCTCATCTCCCTTAATTTATTCAATGAGTACAACCTGAGAAGTAGATGGAATAACTATGCTGACTACTATCAACCCACATTTTATCCGTTTAGAAGGGTTTAAGATCACCCTGGTAAGTAATGAAGCCAGGACTCACCCAGCACTTTGGATCTCAGCCCCATTACTCTCTCTAACTCTACAAGTAGCGTGCCTGACCAATCATTATGTCACGGCTATTCTCTCCTTCCTATTAGATATTAAAAACTTCTATTTGTTTCTTTTTAGAAATGTATTTGTGGCTGGGCATATAATCCCAGGACTTTGGAAGGTTTCTAAAGTGGGAGGATTGCTTGAGTCCAGGAGTTCGAGACCAGACTGGACAGTATCATGAGAATCTGTCTCTACAAAAAATAAAATATGGGCCAGGTGCAGTGGCTCATGCCTGTAATCCCAGCGCTTTGGGAGGACAAGGCGGGCGGATCACGAGGTCAGGAGTTCAAGACAAGCCTGACCAACACGGTGAAACCCCGTCTCTACTAAAAATATAAAAATTAGTCGGGCTTGGTGGTGTGTGCCTGTAGTCCCAGCTACTCAGAAGGCTGAGGCAGGAGAATTGCTTGAACCCAGGAGGTGGAGGTTGCAGTGAGCCGAGATCACACCATTGCACTCCAGCCTGGAGGACAGAGCAAGACTAAATGAGCTGGGCATGTGGGTGCACACCTGTACTCCCAGCTATTTGGGAGGCTGAGGTAGGAGGATTCCTTGAGCCTGAGAGGTTGAGGCTGCAGAGAGCCACAATCATGACACTGCACTCCAGCCTGGGCAACAAAGCGAGACCATCTCAAAAAGAGAAAAAAAGAACAGAAAGAAAATTTATGCTTTAGCATTATGAAGTAAAAATCTTGTTCTCTGTAACTGCTAATATTGCTACTGCTGCAGATCAGGAAGAAAGGTACAGCCTGGGGTAGGTGGACTTTTGGCTTTCCTGAGTACGCCTATTTTTGACAAGCTTTTCCCAGAACTGCCTGACCTATTTTTTATCAATAAATCAAAACTGCTTCATTTTAAAGTGCAGCAATAGACAGCTCATTGAGGACAAAAGTGACCTTCCATAAATCTGAAAAATTAAAGCACATCTTTTGGAATGAAATAACCATTGATGCATTGACTGAATTCAGTAGCTTAGAAATTATTTTAGTGGTCCTAGATAATACCTTGGGGTACAGTAATCTCTCTCCCTGGGGACAGGCTGGTAACTATTTTTCCTTGGAAAATTAAAGTTTAAGGTTGTTGATAGGTCTAAATAGGCTAACAGTTATGATATGGAATGGAAACTATTATGGAATCTGTTATTACTGCTTTCTGTTGCTTAAAATTATTGAAAACTAATGGAGTTCAAGAAAAGATGTAATGGATTTGGGAAATATCAGGACCAAGAAATCAATAAACAGTCCATTCCAGGATGGGTGCGGTGGCTCACGCCTGTAATCCCAACACTTTGGGAGGCCAAGGCAGGCAGATCCCTGAGGTCAGGAGTTTGAGACCAGCCTGGCTAACATGGTGAAATCCTGTCTCTACTCAAAACACAAAAATTAGCCAGGCGTGCGTGGCAGGTGCCTATAATCCCAGCTACTCGAGAGGCTGAGGCATGAGAATCACTTGAACCTGGGAGGCAGAGCTTGCAGTGAGCTGAGATCATGCTACTGCACTCCAGCTGGGGCAACAGAGCGAGACTCTGTCTTAAAACAAACAAACCAAACCAAAAAAAAAAAAAAAAACCCAAAAAAACCAACCCCAATCCACTCCATAATTAGCATAACATACACTTCTAGACTGTCAATATGACACTCATTTGATATTCTAACACATACCGTATTAGATATTACATCATTGTGGATATAAATTAAAACATCCCAATAGGTGACTTCCTCTGGTTAGCTACCACTATTGGGCCTTACAACAATTGCTACTATATATATATATATATACATACACACACACACACCCATATATATATATATATATATATATATATAGTTTTTTTTGAGACAGAGTCTTGCTCTGTCGCCCAGGCTGGAGTGCAGTGGCATGATCTCTGCTCACTGCAACCTCCACCTCCTGGGTTCAAGCAATTCTCCTACCCGATTCTCCTGCCCCAGCCTCCTGAGTAGCTGGGACTACAGGCACGTGCTACCATGCCTGGCTAATTTTTTGTATTTTTAGTGGAGAAGGGGTTTCACTGTTAGCCAGGATGGTCTCAGTCTCCCATGATCCGCCTGCCTTGGCCTCCCAAAGTGCTGGGATTACAGGTGTGAGCCACCGCGCCTGGCCACTACTACAGATTTACTTACTATGTATCTGGCTCTGTGGCAAGTAGTTGGTGTGCTTTTTAAATTTAATTATTTAAATAACCATGCGAGACAAGTATTATTGTCACAATATTATAGATGAGGAATGCATTAAAAAAGTGAATTACAGACCAGGTGCGGTGGCTCACACCTGTAATCCCAGCACTTTGGGAGGCTGAGGCGGGCAGATCATGAGGTCAGGAGATCTAGACCATCCTGGCTAACACGATGAAACCCCGTCTCTACTAAAAATACAAAAAATTAGCCAGGCGAGGTGGCGGGTGCCTGCAGTCCCAGCTACGCGGGAGGCTAAGGCAGGAGAATGGCGTGAACCTGGGAGGCGGAGCTTGCAGTGAGCCGAGGTCGTGCCACTGCACTCCAGACTGGGTGACAGAGCAAGACTCTGTCTCAAAAAAAAAAAAAAAAAAAAAGGTGAATTACGAAGAGCAATTGGCTTCACTAACATTGCTGAAAAGTGGGGAGTCCAGCTCAAACCTGAGTTTAGCTGACCCGAGCACCACTGGGCTGGTCCCACTTCTGACTAGTCCTCTCTACTACTGGCCCACGCCTTCCAAGCCATCTTTCAGCTAACCAGTTTTCAGTGATACGAAGTCCTTTAGGGCTCCCCTGGTGGGACAGGGGATGACCTATATCATTTGCTAAGTATAAGGTAGATATTCAGTTAGTGAAACTTACTTTAAAGGCACAAAACCAGGACATCCAAGAGAGTATTATGCTCACTGAAAATGTTACGTATCAATCATGGCTATTGATTCAAGTTCAAAAGAGAAATCATTGACCTTTACTACAGAATTAGAAACAGCCAATGCAACAGAAGTTTTTAAAAATTATATTTAATACAAGTGAATAGATTAGAAGATCTGAAATGTTATAAAGCAATATACACAACGAATAAATAATTTGCACAGGAGAGTCATGTCTACATTACATAACACTGTCTAGTATGGGAATACTTAAAGTAAATCCAGTGATAATGGAGAAAGTCCATAAAAATGCTAACCTGTCTTCCCTTGTATGAAATTGTTCAAGTATAAAAATCCAATACAGTGTAAAATAGTATTCAATTTAGTTTAAGAATAAAAATTGCAAGTATTGCAGTTTCAGAAGAAAAATGTAAAGCAGCATTTAAAAACTACATAATAGTGTTAAACTAATGAATTACCAATAAATGAAATCTACACAGGCAAAATCAGAGGAGGAAGCATGAAACTAGCAATATATCGTTTAAAAAAAAATCTAAAAACTAAACTAAAATGTGTTAATGTAAGAGTACTCTCTTATACAGTGCACATATGAATTTAAATAAATCCAAGTCAACATCTTTAGTTGAATAGGTTAATATTTAATACGCTACATCTAGACTTACTAAATAATTTATGCCATGAGATGAATACATAATTTTACAGTGTCACATCTAAAGTTCCTTTCTTTAGAGTGCAGCATAGTAAAACTTAAAAATAAATATCTTAAATAGCATTACTATTAAGGCACAGTATAAACCACATTATCATTAACCTTTGAAGAATTGTAATCTCAGTAACCTTGTTGTCTCATGTACTGTAGTCACTAATAAATAGTTTTAAATATGACTCTGAAATAGATACTAAAGTGTAAAATTACTTAAAAAGGGAAAAAAAATAAATGTCCTTAAGACAGTTCTGCAAACTTTGCCTGCCTTTATTCATAAGCCACGAGTCGACACAATAAATAGAAAGAGAAGGCTGTTGTAGTAAAAGCCTGATCCTATTTCAGAATCAGAATTGCTGACACCAGCAGATACAAGTTTCCCAAAATTGAAACAGGATGGGGAGAGGGATTAGAATGTGACAAGCTCATCAAACAAGCACAAGTGATGTGTTCTTTCCAGAACTGTGTGTGTTATTGATTGTCTGTACAGCTGTTGCACCCATTAATTCCACATCACTTGTTCCACAGTTCCACTCATCCACAGGACAGATGAGAAAATAGCTTTGGTGCCTGTCCACCATTTTACCCACTGCCACGCTCCTAGATTGATTGTTCGATGCCCATTTTTGAGATAGTAAGAACAGGACCTTCCGACTTGAAAAAAGTTCTATAGGCCTTAAGTGACTGCTAAAAATGACAATCAGTGCTTTCGCCATTTTGTTTGTAAAAAATCTGCTTTTAAATGTAATTCAAGCTACATATTGCTCGCTCTGTATTCCCTGGTTCAACTAGATTCAAACAGCATTTTCTAACTTGTAAAAGGCAGTTTGCTTCCCTGATACTATAAAAAGAGCAAAAATAAAAATCCCGTTACAAAAGTGAAGTTCCGTTGTTACTCCTGGCGTCATTTCGTAGTGGCCTTTCATTTACTCAGGCTCTTTGGGATTGATTTCCAAAATTGTGCCCATTCCCCTCATTCTTACCTCTTTCTCATCTAGAACACTACCTGGAGTATAAAAAAAATAATAACTCTGCTTCACAATAGCATGGCTGTTTTTTTTTTTAAAGCTGTTAAGTCAATGTTAACTCTCTTATTAGCTACTAAAAATTGGAAAATTGGGAGGGAAAGAGAAAACAATTCAACTTTGATCAGATGGCTGGTCTATTGCATTCGGTCTGTCTGCAGCTGCTGAGGCTGGTACTGGCCAAATGCTGCAGCGGCAGCAGCTGCTGCAGCGGCGGCGGCAGCTGTCCCAGGTGCCGCTGCGGTGATTGGCTGCTGGACTGCGTAGCCATAGCCCCCAGCAGTAACATATCCTGCAGCAGCTGGAGAGGCTGCATAGGGGTACTGGTCATAGGCAGCAGCGGCGGCGGCAGCAGCAGCAGCTGCTGAGTATTGTGCGTATGCAGCTCCAGTGTAATCAATGTAAGGGGTGGTGGAGGCGGCAGCTGCTGTCGGCTGGACGTGTGGAATGACCACTCCCGGCTGCACAAAAGCCTGCGGATAGACATAGTGGGCAGGTATCCTGTTGAGAAATGGAAAACAAAGTCAGGCGGTAGTCACCTCCTAACTGTAGCATGTTGTTCAAAGATAAAACAAACTCAAATTTAGTGGTTATTATGAGCATAGGGTTGCCACAATATCTACTTTCTAGTGGTCCATTGAGAATACTCAGGCAGTAGCCAAAGTCATAGAGTGCCCCCAGAAGAACTGGACCCCAAAAATATGATGACACCCTCCCTGCTAGAATTGTCATGTATGATTATTTGGAGCTGCTAAGTACAGTTTATCAAGAGTTTGGAAAATAAATCAAGATTCATGAGGGCTACACACGTAAGAGAGGTTTAACAAGTGCTCAATTGATGAAGACTTTGGAAAATTTTGTAATGAGTTCATAAAATAAGAATGTTTAATTAAGTAAATAGAAAAATTCTTAGCCAAGAATATAGGACTCAAAAGGTAGTCCATAATTATTCACTTCTGTGGGGTGATCACCAGTTTGTCGAAATTAACATAAACGTTAACAAAATCCGTATGTTTATTATCATGGCAACCCTACTTGAAATTGCTATGCAGACTCAGCACACATTAATCTCTCTGCAACCTCAGTCACCCTTATTAAAAATAATAATTAAAAAAGGAAGCAGGCGACAAAATAAGAAAAAGGAGTTTAAAAGTTCACAAGTGTGGTAAACACAGCAGAATCACACTTCTCAAACGAACTGTAGTGCAGCTCACTCTGTCACAAGAGGCTGTCGTGGGAAGCTACAAAAATGCTATTAACATTCATGGCAGTGATTCCCAAAGAGATGTGCAGCACACTTATTTTCTTTCTTTCTCTTTTTTTTCCCCCATAAAATTCATAAGGACACAACGGTCAACCAAACCTGTTTGACTATCAGGCACCTGAGGGTCAGCCAGCTTGTTTATCTCTATGCAAGACAGACAGAAGGGGTTTTGGGGAAATGATGAGGTTGAGGGAAAAGGCAGGACAGGGAAGTACAACTAAATATTTCTAAAATTAATAGAAATTTAAAAGGTTTACATAACAAGGAAACTTTTTTTGCACATCTACTAACTCTTGTTTCATCCTCCAAATTAGCAGAAATACGTTAGTGTTATGTTCGAAATCTGCCCTATTCGTTGATATTTTGTACAAATCATATCAATTGTATAATCATGTGTTATCCTGCAAAAGTTCAAGAAAGTCAAACAAAACCAAGTATCTTTTAAAATTATACATTCACAGATAATACAAGACAGACTCCAATGACGTTACTTAAAAGTTAATGTGGTTAAAAAAATAAATCACAAGAGGTATTTAAACAAAAATTCCATGCATCTCCATTCTCACTCTTGCAATTTATTACTGCCCATCTGAAACACTACCATAAATATCTGATTTATCTTCTTCTTTAAAATAATCTCCATTAAAGCCCCCTATATTTATATCTAAAAACATGACACTATAATACTACGTGGTTGCTGGCAAAGCCAACTTGTAAGAAGTACAAGGACAAGTAACAACCTTTCAATTTCAAAGAACTCAAAACAGAAAACAGCACTTGTAGATTTTTCAGAAACATAGATTTTGCTTTGCCTTTTCAGAGTTTTACTGAAAGCACTCATTAACGAACATCCATGGAAAAGATGAATTTATCTCAGAGGGTAGTGGACTTTGGCCCCAATGATAAAAATACACTCAATTTTACCAGACTTGTAGATGTTTCCCAGTGCCAGGAGAAACGACGTCATCAAGTGTTTCTGAGGACACTCAGAGATGTTCTTAACTGCTTGTCAGAAACCAGGCGCGTGGTCATGCACACACTCAGAACTTTGCTGCAGGTCAGGTGACTGGCTCACTCGCAACAACAGGTGTGGCTTTATGAAACACTGTCCCTGGAGGCTGCCGTGTCTACAACGTGTAGACACGGCTAAGAGAGCCTACTCTTATGCCAGTTTACATGTGGTGATGGACAGCAGGGGCTGCAGCCGGGCTATTTTTGATCCTGTCATGCGACAAGGGTTTCCAGCGGGTAAAATGTCTTTATAAGGCCAAAGTAAAACATCTATCAGCTGCAAAGGCCAGCCAGTGCGGATCTCACTGACACCGAAACCTTAACCCCTTGTACTCTCAAAGTTCCAAGAACAACACTGTGGGTGCTAGGTTGGTATCTCTGAATTAAGGTGTTAAGTGAAAATGTTTATCCTACAAAAAGGAGAAAGTGTTGTGAAGAATGCATTAAAAGACAGGCAAGGTTGCTTAGGGGGCTTTAGCTCTGCATTTACTTTGCATTAGGAAATAGTTTTGATTTCACAATGTCAAACAATGAGAATATAAAGAAAGTTCACTGGATTATCAGACTCCTACATGAAGTTTGGCAAAGGTTAAAGAGACGTCTGGAAGGCAAATGAAAACCTAGAACATTTTAAGGCTTAGAGGGAAAAGGAGAACCCGAAAGACCTTGGAGAGCCTAAAATATCCTGGGTCAGGAAGGAAGGCAGAATTGGACTGAAGGTTCAAGTGGCACTTTGGAATGAAATCCTGAATTAGGAGTTCTTTTTAATAGTCTGAGACCCATTAAGGTGATCTGGGAATCTCCCTCCTATTAGACATTTACCAATGTCGTTTCCTTAACCATAAAACGTGCATGCCTAGCAGTTACAAAAAGCACAAGTGCAAAGAAGACACTTTTGGTAATTTTCAAAGAAAATTTACTACATTTTCCTTTTCTTCCCATCTCTTCAGGTTCCACTGACATCTCTATGTGACTTTTAAAGCAACATCCTAACTGGTTTTGAAGCAATATCCTAATCGGTTTCTTTTTCCAATCTATCTCACAGCAACTGATGACAAATACTCCATCTCATTCATTTGCTCAAAGTAATCCTTGGCCCCTAAAAAACCAAACTCAGTGCAAATTTCTTAAGCCTTGGCATTCTAGGCCAAAACATCCAGACTGCCCCTGGCTCCAAAACACCTTTCTAGTATTTCCTTCCACCTTTCCTCAAACCCAGGTCAACTGGGCTCCTTTATGTTTCCTGGACAAGCTTCACATTCCCAGATTCTTGCCCTTTATTCATGTCATTCATCCCTCACCCAGATGCTAATCCTCACACTGTCTCTACCTGCTGAAATCCAAATCCCACTCACCCTAGCTCTAGCACTCACTACGTGTAGAGGTTTCAGAAATTTGCTTTATCGTTTAGTCTCATATGTTTCTTTTTTTATGCTTTGTTGTCTTAACATAGCCTCCTATTTTGCATATGTGAAATGGACTAATAATCTCACAACCCTGGATTGCTGTGCATTAAATAAAATTATCTGTGGAGAGAGTCTACAATGCCAAATATAGTAGGCACTCAATAAAAGAGTTCCCTACCCTCCACCATTCTTTAAAACCTAGGTCAACTTCTACTTCCTTCACGAAGACTTCTGAATCCCACTCATTGTCCTGATGTTCGTCTCTCTTATCTGAAGCCACATGGACAGCCCTTCTTGGTGCTTATCGGCTTTCTTACTGGATTATGAGAGAATAGAGTTTTGTCTTTTGGGGCTACAGCTTGACAAAGAGGAAAGACTGCAGCTTCTGAGGTCAGGCAGACCATGATTCTGAATCTAGACTCAGCCTCTAACACTTAGCAGTCCTGTGATCAGGGGGAAGTTAATTAACCTCTCTGTGTCTTAGTTTTGGAAAAGATATTAACAATGCCTTCAACAAACACTTACTGTGAGAATTAAATTATGTAATTTATGTAAATCCCTTATCATTACAATCCATATGGCAGATGTTTGGTTAGTGTTAGTTACAGTCCCTCCTGCCCTCCTTAGTGGACACTATAAAAACTAAGCACAGTGTTACCACACCCAGCATAAAACTGAGCACTTAAAGGGGTACTGAGTCAATGTTTAAGTGTATGTTCAACCTCATCTAAACTAGCCCAGAAATTTGTTTTTTGGTTTTTTTTTTTGAGATGGAGTCTCGCTCTGTCGCCCAGGCTGGAGTGCAGTGGCACAATCTCGGCTCGCTGCAAGCTCCGCCTTCTGGGTTCACGCCATTCTCCTGCCTCAGCCTCCCGAGTAGCTGGACTACAGGCGCCCACCACCACGCCCAGCTAATTTTTTGTATTTTTATTAGAGATGGGGTTTCACTGTGTTAGCCAGGATGGTCTCGCCCTCTCAACCTCCTGACCTCATGATCCACCCACCTCGGCCTCCCAAAGTGCTGGGATTACAGGCATGAGCCACCGCACCTGGCCACTAGCCCAGAAATTTCTACTCACAGATCTGTAGCCTCCCCTTTCCAAGGTTTCAATAAGGAAATGCTTCTTTCAACCATAAACTATAAAATATTGTTTAGCAAGTTTATAAGTTTTTCTACATCTGCCCACTGTGCTACATCAGAAATTCCTTTTAGGCCAAGGTTTTGTCTACAGAGGCCCAAAGTCACCTGGGGGCCATTTAAGGACCACATTCAAAGGAACAGTTCAGTTACTAGAATTTCAAGTAAGTCAAGTCAAATTTGAAATTCTCAAGTTTCTTTCCAGGCCTAAAATAGGAACATGTAGCATTCAAACAGAATTTAGGATGACCAGGTGTGATTTGTTAGGTACAGACTCTGAAATTAGAGCAGTGTTGAGAACCTCTTAAAAAAGAAAGAGAAAGCTCACTTGGTCCACCTGGAATGCTATCTATTTCTAATAAGAATCTCAAGTTCAAACAATTTATGCACACACTAATAATCACCATCCTTTATAAAGACAGTTAATATTAGAAGAGGTGAAAAACAAAAGGTTGCTATCAAAACACACTTGCTTTCAAATTTCCATGACACATCTTACACTGGTGGTTGTAATTTTCCTTGTGTTACCTTCTTTCTTAAGAACTGATCTATAAGGACTTCCACAATCAGTCCAAATTCCTATGCCCAGCTCTCAAGACCCACCTTAGACAGTCTGGTTTCTCCACGCACTGAGTCTTCTCCTCTATGCCTCTGCTTCGGCTCACTCCATCCTATACCCTCCAGACATATCCAGTCTTCCTTTTACCTGCCTAAGACATACCCAGTGGTGCAAGTCTAGTGCCAGTCTACCTGCCATGCACACCACAGCCTTATTCAACTCCTCCACTTCATCTATTTTCTTGCTACTCTGAATTCCTTTTGTACTTGAAACAATACCAAGTCACTTAGAAATTAATAATTCTTGACTGGTTTTTGCATGACTTTTGCTTCCCAAACTAATGTGCAATTCCCTCATTTTGCATCACCCACTGGCACAGTGAAAAAATAAACACATGCAACTACCTGTTGATTGATTCAATTTTATAACTGTTTCAAGATTATTAGTGTGAGCCCACCACTAAGCTCACATCACACCTTCAGATATATGCTCTCCTCCCTAATCCCACCTTAAACAGTTAAGTCTAAATGAATTACCCACAGAAATAGCTGAACCCATCAACCCACCACTTGTTTTCAGTATTTGGGTTGGCTTGGATGGGGATTTGCTAAGTAGCTATGGATATAGGAAGGCCCTTTCTGATCATATTGAACAGAAGACTCTTCCACAGCTAAAAAAAAAAAAAAAAAAATAGTAGTAGTTGGCAATAACAGTGAGGTACCGATATGTTAGAGTTGTAAGGAGGTGGTCATGGGAAATATAACTTTACTCTTCCAAGTCAAGTTATTATTAATTTCTTTTTAAAATCTATTCTTAGAGACACATATGGTAGACATCTATCTATGTAGACAGATTCCAGCCTTCCAGGTTACACAGGTAGATGTTTTAGGTCCTAAGCTAGAGGAGAAATTATTATTGAGGATAAAACACTCTTTCAACAACATGAACATTTAAAAAGAAAATTTAAGTATCCTGCGTTAGAGTTACAGGCATGTTGATCAGGTAGAACAGAGCCAAAACAGAATCTAGTGTCCAGGATAAATTGAGGCGAGGGGTGATCTCCCACCCATATAACCTCTGAAAGGAAGAGAAATGAGGACCTTGGAACAGGAAAACTGGTAATCACAGGACCCAAAGACAACATAAATATGAACAGGTGTTCACCTGAGTTAGATCTGAAAGGTGAAAGTTAGTGTGACGCTACTCAAAAAAACTGGCTTGTGTTAATAAAATCTGATGAGAGTTGTTGAACCTTTAAATTAGATGGCCTAAAAGTGGATACACATTGCAAAAGAAAGAACCCCATTCCCAGAAAATTTCCCATAAAACAGAAACTTAGGACATGCAAGCAATGAATCTGTATTCTGACAAAGAGAAATCACACAATTTAGCACTCACTACAAAAATGTGGTTAAATGGAAGTCACAGGCTACAGCTTAAAAGCAAGAAAAAAAAAAAGGCCCTTTGCTTCCCATGGCAAAGTCAAAAGTCAACACCCCTCAACACCACCACCAAAATCAAAACGCAAAGAGCCCCTTCCCCGAGGAAAAGAAAACACTTTCACTACAGCTCTTTTCAATTAAGTAAAAAGCACACAGTTTAGCTATCAACACCACTTCATTACTGTAATAAATAAAATAAAGCACACGAAGGGCTATTGACTATTGTGAAAAATAAAAACAACAACACCAACATCCATGCATCGTTAATCACCATCTGAGCTTGTGTGTCTGAGTCTACTGGTTACAGAGTTTAATTCCAAACAGAACTATTCCACCTCTTATCATGGTATCCTTCTGATCAGTTAGCTTAACTGTATACGAGCCCTGTCAGGTTAGAAAGAGATAAATAAAATTGAGTCAAGTCGAACAGTAGTAATGGTGATGGGACACAATCGTCTTGTACACAAGTCATACCTGGTATTTTTGTTTTGTTTTGCTAATCATAAGCTCAAAATTTGTCTCGTTTGGAGGCTGCATACTTGGTCAGATAACTTGACTCATCTAAAAATATTTATAGTATCAGCATTAAAAATGCACAAATATATATAAAATTGTATAACTAGGACCATTCTGTGACATCATGATCTTATCTGTATATAACAAAGAGGCACGTTAACAAATGATAGTCATACTGAAACTTAAGAAAGCCTGATTAATCAACTTACCCGAAAGGTCTTTGTATAAGGGCTGGATGAAGTTGTTGAACACCAAAGGCAAAACCTAACAACAAAATATACCACATTCTTTATTTGTGCATGGTTAGGCATTTATTATTCCTACATGTAAAATGCAATCACAACTTTCACTTATAAAAGATAAACATTCTTTCGCCACTTTAAAGAAACTATATGTATGTATATTTTTTAAAGTCAGTTTTATAAATGCTATCATTGATTCAAAATAAAGGTTTTAACAGAGAAAAGGTGAAAACTTTAAAAAAATCTGCAAATTTTAGTTGACAGACACAGAATCAGACCTTGGGAAAATGTTCATGAAATAAAATTAAGTACAGCAGGATTTGACAGTGAAGTTACATCTCAAATATTCTCACAGTTTTGAACCAGAATCTATGAAAAGTCTTTGTAATTTGGAACGTTCTGGGATGCTTCAGACAATGCTTTGGAAGATTATGGGTTTTACACTTTCCAGTATTAAAAATTCACAAAAAAAAATGTTTTTTTTCTGGATACTACATACCCACAATGTATTAGACAAATTTTTTTAACGCCCATGAATATTTGCACAAACACTCATTTTCTTGACAACCTAGTTTCCTTTTAAACCCGTTTGGATGGAAGTGTCAACCTCTTCCCAAAATTTCAGATGGAAAGGCTTAGGAGTGAAGAGTATATGATTTAATCAAACTTTACAAGTAAAGTTGCCTGACCAAAGAAAATATTATATTTGCTTAAAAATCAACTCTCAACTATTTGTGCTAATGCAAAGGGCAGTGTTGTAAATAATCCAAGAGGTATTGTTTTCCCATAGACAAAAAACTGCTCCCTTTTGGCAACTAATAGCTACATGACTTAAGTAAAATATTTCTCATCTCTAAGCATCAGTTTCTTTGTCTGTAGCATAGGGTTCTTGAGTAGGTGCAATTTCTGTTTTCTTTGATTGCTAATACTCTGTGATTTTATGTTGAAGGTTTACCATTTTGGGCCAGGCGCGGTGGCTCACGCCTGTAATCCCAGCACTTTAGGAGGCCAAGGCGGGTGGATCACCTGAGGTCAGGAGTTCAAGACCAGCCTGACCAACACAGTGAAACCCCGTCTCTACTAAAAATACAAAATTAGCTGGGTGTGGTGACACATTCCTGTAATCCCAGCTACTTGGGAGGCTGAGGCAGGACAATCACTTGAACCCAGGAGGCGGAGGTTGCAGTGAGCCTAGATCGCGTCATTGCACTCCAGCCTGGGCAACAAGAACGAAACTCCATCTCAAAAAAAAACAAAACCTTTACCATTTGGACATCGCCCCTACCCCTTAATGCTTCCCTTGGGTCTGTGTTCAAGTCAGACTGCCTGCTCTGAGCACAGTGCAACTGGTGCTAAAAGGAGAGACACCACTAAGTAGGGAAGTATATTAGCTGAAGTCGACAAATTTGGCCTATATAATCCACATGTGAATTATCTACAGGTGGCTAAAAATTGGAAAATTGAGAGCAGACTACAAATGTATGCCATATAGGAAACAGGTGAGACATGACTAACTCTTCTTCCTGCACGACCCCCAAGATCCATTTTTGCACACAGGTACATTTCAAGCCTTGAGAGGAGTATTTACAACTCTCATTTATGTTTAATGCCTTGGTAGAATAACAAGCCATGGTTCAAGTTTACTAAACACATCTACAGAAAGAGACAATGTCTTCTAAATTAGAGAATCATCCCACCCATAAATGGGGGGTTCTTGGAGAGGGGGGTAGGGGAGACAGACATTTCTCACCTGGTTGCATGATCCTTGGTTTTGCTCCTAAGTATGCCAGGTTCACGTTGGCCTTTCTGCCATCAATGATGGGATTGGGATCCTTGCAGGCCCTTTCGGCAGCAGCCCGGTCAGCCATGGTGACCTTAGCAACAGACACACACAGACATACATACATAACCTCTAAATTAACCCATGAAGGAAATCAAGAATCACAATGGAGAAGTCATTCATGATAAAACTGAGATCAAACTTTTTTTCTATTCTTTGCTTCTTTTGGCTGGACCCTCCTCCTTGATCTCCCATTTTTAACAGGCGGGCGGGGGCGTGGGGGGGGGGGGCGGGTAGACGAAGGAAAAAAGAAAGAAACCCTCTAACCCTGCCTCCCCCCACCCCACCGCCGAAATCTTAAGGGTGTTAGTAGGGCCTAGCCGAGATTTGGAAGCCTAAATTCTTGGAACTCTAGATCCTCCTTCCCCCGAATCCCCCGCCCCCCAGGTCCCTACTCAGCCTCAGAGGCACCGTTTGCTTTAAAGAAAGTCCAGCCTTACATCCGCCCAACGCTCCCAACCTCGAAAACACTCCCCAACGACAATAGCTATTGTCCTACTCTGGGGCTCCCTGCTCTTCGGCAGCTGAATTTGCACGCTTAAATCTCTAGGAAGGAAGCTTAATATGCTCTGTTTCAGTTCGGCAAAGAGCCCTAGGATCATGATTTAAAAGAACCTACCTTTGCAGTTAAAAGGCGGGGGGATGACACAAGGGCAACAGCCCCAGACCTCGTGGGGTGTCCCCTCCCTGCCCCAGCCAAAACACCAGAACACACGCATTTTTACAAAGCAACAGCGCGCTTAACAACCGGCATCCAGCCCGGGAATGCAATTGTTCAGGGTTGCGGCCCCTCCCTCGCAACCCTCCGCACCCCAAATCCCGCCGTCATTACAGGTCTCTCCTTTCACCCCTGCTCTGCCCTGCCCGGCCCCCGACCTCGCACAGCGCTGGGTCTTCTCCGAACCCCGCGAGGCTGGCGCCGACCCTCTCCCCTAGCAAAGTTTCAGTTCACCCCGGAGCGAAGGGGCAGCGCCGCTCTACCCGCGGGGCTCCTCACGGGTCACGCCGAGCCCCTCACTCCAAGCTCCCGATCCCCGGGGTCAGCCGCCACTCCGTCCCTCCCCGTCACCCCCAGTCCGTGCAACTTACAAATCCATAGCCCCGGGACTTGCCCGTCTGCCGGTCGGTGATGACCACCGCCTCCTCGATCTCGCCGAAGACCTCGAAGTACTTGCGCAGGCTGGCGTCGGTGGTGTGGTAGGGCAGCCCCCCGACGAAGATCTTGGTGTACGTCGTGTCCTTCTGGGTCGTGTGCATCTTCGCACCCGCCCCGCGGCTCGGGCTCCGGCTGCGGCTGCGGCTCGGGCAGCGGCTGCGCCTCCTCCTCCGGCTCCGCGTCTCCCGCACCCTTTCGCGGCCGCCGGGGGCCAAGGGCGAGCCCGGGGGCGAGGGCGGCGGCGCGGCGGGGGCGAGCGGCCGGGGGCGGCCGAGAGCGCCGGGCGCGCGGCTTCCGAAGTCGCCAGCGGCCCTGGAGACTTGACTTCGCTCTCTCCTCCCGCCCCCCCTGCCGGTCACCGTACAAATTCTCCGGATCGTCTGGATTAGAATCGGGTTCTATAGAATGTGCAAGCGGTTTCCACTCACCCGGCGGGGAGGCCAAAAATGAAAAGAGAGGGTAGTTCTCAAGCGAAGAAGCGGGTGCTTTAGAGGTAGATTTTTCTTCCTTAGGAATCAGGTGCCTTGGGTGGGGTGTGGGGAGGGTCCGCGGGAAGAGCGTCCGAGCGCCGAAGCGGGCGGGGGGCGCGGCGGCGGGGCCAGGGGCGAGGAACTCCGCGCAGCTTCGGCTCTGGTCTGTCCCTCCCGCCGTGGGATCTGGAAGACGAGTGCCGAGGACAGCTCTCCACCTCTCTGCTCCCTTCCCCCGCGGGCCGGGGGTCGACGCCCGGCTGGGGAGGGGGGCGGGCCGGACGCCTGCGATTGGCCGCGGCAGCACCTGGGGCGCCGGGCGCCGCCGCCCCCCAGCTGTTGGGAACAGCTGCTTCTCTCCCCGCGCGGCGCGGCGCTGGGGCTCGGGGCTCCCGCTCTGTAGCCGGCGATGGGGTAGGGCTGGAGACGCCTGTAGGCGGCCTGGCTCTCGGCGTCGCCTGCTCTAACCAGTCAAAGTCTTAGGGACCCGGCGCAGCACCAGCCGGGACCCAGGGTGCGGGGACTGTGCCCAAGGAGGAAGCTGCGTTGCTTTCCAGAGGGGACGACGCGAGCTTTTTGGGTTAGGCCTCGGTGACAGGGCCGGCGACCTGGACTGGCGAACTGGGGTCCCCAGAGGCCTGGGGCGATTCGCTGAGAGGCCAATCCCCTCCCGGGCGCGGGGGGTCAAGGAGCTCGGCCGAACGAAACCCAAGCTGGACACCCTGGGGTCTGAAGAGTGAGAAGGAGGGCCCCAACTTTCTTTGGCCCCAAAAAGCCAGTGCGGGGAAGTATCAGAGAGGTAGAGCCAGAAGGAAAAGAAAGATCTAGCGCTTGGGTGTAGTTGGGAAAACCATTAGCTTTAATTGCTACCGCCCAGCCAAACCAAGTAACCGGAGATACCTATGTCCATCAGGCACCGCCTTCTATTTCAGAGGACCATAAGTTAGTATTTTAGCCCCCACAGTCACCAAATTTGTCTTTCCTCCCTAACTTAGTTATTCAGGAAGATTGGTACAGATGTCTTAGCATAAGTCGTTCTTTTTTTTTTTTTTTCCCTAAACAAAGAATTAATCTATTTCTTTCTCTTTGAATTACAAGAATGTTTAGTGGCTTGACCTCATCTGTTTTTATCTGGATGTAAATGTAAAAGGTATAATTTTTGAAATCAACTTATTGCATAACCAGTGGTTTCTACCAGCAGACCTGAAAGCATTTGTAGAACATAGGGCACCCCATATATATTTATTACTTTACATCAGCTTTTTGCAACTTCTTTTAATTGAGAATTCATTCAATTAGGCCTTAAAATCAATCAGTCATACTTGAGGTTTGGATGAAAATATTTGATGTGAGCAGAAGGTTTCATCCACCATTGTTGGTGCACAATTGCCTTTTAAGTCCTTTCTACGGGAGTCTACAGTCCCTACATTAATCGCCCCTGAGCCGCACCATTTATTCCATTAAAACAATTCAGTATGTTAACCGTTAGAGAGGTGCATACTCTGTTTCTCTCCAGGACACCTTTGCAGTCAACCCAAGAGGGTGAGAAATGTTGCATTTGCAAAGGCTAATGGGAATGCAAATATTCTTGTGCAAAACATTAAATTCCGTTTTTCATCTTGCTGACTTCCTCATGAGGTTGACTTTTTGACGTCACTGGTTTCTTTAAGTTTGAACCCCCAGTGGGAGATATAGAGAAATCAGAAATCTATTAAAGTTAAAAACATTTTTTTCACCCGATTAAAAAAATAATAAAGAATTTTACAGACAGATGAGAGCCAGAAAGTGAAATTGTAAACACCCTCTCTTCATTACTTAAGTTAAAGGACAGGTTCAAAAACGACTCTCTGTGCTGGTATGATGAAAGATAATTTTTAAAAGTTAGAAAAACAAAGCAGGCGGGGAAAGAGAAGAGGCGTGTTTTTTAATATTCAACATCCATCTTGTGTCATTTAAGAATTACTGTACGTAGATGAGGCTCAGGCAAAACCCTTTTGTGAAGGGAAGCTGCTTAGAGAGAAGCCTTAGAAGGGCGCCTTTGGCTGTCTCGCCTTTCTTCCTACCTGGATTGGGAGCCCACCCTGGAGAGGACTGTGATAATATCAGGGAAGGAGGGTGTCTGGGAGTGTAGCCAGCAGCTAGGATGTTCACTAGGTAAAGTGGTGAGATCTACAAGGAAATTCTGATCCCGGGTTGGAATACTTGTGTCCTAGAACTCAGCTTCTGGAAATAAGACGCCTCCTTGTCATTGTCCCTCCCATCCCGTGCAACCCCTGACTGCAGTGTTTTTATTCTTTCAAGGGAACAGTAAATACTTGATCACTTTGCCTGAAACTTTGCCTGGACGGTCCCTAATTTTGAATTCCAGGGATAATTAAAACATTACTAATACACTGGTATTACGTGAGTCACTGAGAACAAAGGTTAAGAGGGATGGAGATTCCTTATTTTCCAAACGTATTTAAACGGAAGCCAGAATTCATACCCAGTTCATCTCAACAAACTTTCATCAAGACCCCCTTCCCTTCGCCCAGGCAAGCACTGTGGTAGGCATCATTGCTGCCCCTGTGGGTTTTGTTTTACATTTGCACCAAGGTGGACACAGTTAAAATGGCCAGATCCTCATTCTTGGTGGATTTACGAATCTGAGCCATCAAATCATGTAGCCTTGGGGCCATAAAGTTTTTCTGAATTCAAGGTTTCAAGGTTAAGTACCGAATATTTCTGTACAATTACTCATTACAAATTCAGGTTTGAAAAACAATGCTTGGATAATCCTTTTGCTTTGTCAGCTGCTTTTGGCAGAGAATACTTGTATATTCACAGGCCTTGTGCAATATAATGTGTGCTTCTTTGGAAAGAAAGAACCATAAAATACTGTAAAAGTTATAAATAGGTTCCACAAGGTTGTCATCTCCAAATTAGTACATATGGATGGGCCTGAAGTTTTGGTTCCTACTCCATGGCAAGATCAATATTATTTTATTACTTACTGTAAATTATTGTCCACTTTGTTCAAAATCTTTATCTGACTATAAAGGCCAGAACCAAACTCACAAGTTTCACATTCATGTATAACTGTCTTCTCTTCTCCCCTTGCCTCTTAAATTAATCATGGAAATCAACTTCAGGCTCACAGCCTTTTAGAATAATTTTGAAAAAAGAGAGAAATATTTCATGAAGATTGAGAAGCACTCTTTTGGGCTTTGTACCCCAGAGATAATATTGCTTTGGACAATAAGCCACCTGAGAGCAGGGTGACACTCTTAGGTGTCACTGGATCTCCTGCTGGTTATTAAAACCCTTCAGAGGGTTCTACATATACTTGGCACTAAAGAAATATTTACTGAAAAAAAATTGATGTTTTAAAGATGCCTGCCTTCAAGCTTGATGGGAAGAAATGCATTCTTGATTAGAATTGACGACCTATAAAGTGGGCACTTTTTTTTTTTTTTTGAGGCTGGGCACTTTTTTGTTTTTTTTTTTTAAACAAAAATATGGCTTCAGTGAAGTCTTTTGTTTTGGTGGTTTGGAAATATTTTATCTTCTTTTGAGTATCTGTGTGAGCATTTTGATGTAAAACCAACAGGTTTTCTGGCCTTTTGAGAAGTCCCGTCATCAGCTGTATTTCTGTTTCTTTGGGTGGGTTGCTAATTCTCTCTCAGTAACAGATAACAAATGTGTGTGATAGGTTATGCTGCTATTTTAGTGTGCAGAAGAATTGGCAGTCAAAAACCTAGTCAGTTCAGCTCAGACTCACCTCTGGGGGAATTCTATTCATGTTGCATTAAACCACAGCTAAGCTGGTAAATAAAGTGAAATGCAAATTTGTGCCTGTTATTCAGTCATTAAAGTCATAATGTCTCTTTTACACTGAAAATCCAAAAAACAGAAAGCAGAGCAGGATTATTTGAGGGACAGGCAAGGGCAAAAATCAAAGTGTCGAGGGACAAAAATGTTCATTGCCAGTGTCACCGTGCCAGTAATTTCACCCTGCCTGTGTAGAAGTAGCTTTAAGTGTATGCACACTTTAATTTCTATTATGTAAACCCGAAAGGCAAGAAAGAGAATGCAAACATTTTAAACCCACTGTGTGCTTGTTCACATTTTAAACTCAGGGTGTCCTTTGGTTTTAAGTCTTTTAAACAGTGAGCTTCTGAGCTGCCAAGTTATTTTTAGGGAACTGATGATACTCTCCAAATGTATTGAATGACCTCTCTCTGGATGACAAATACATTCTAATGCTGTTGCTTGTGGGCTGGGCAGAGGGCACCGGGTGATGGAAATAGTCCTGGATCTCAAGACAGGAGACCTAGAGTCTAGTCCAGGCAGTTATTAACCAGCCCCAAGACCTTGTTTGGTTTATTTCATTAAAAAGGACAAATGTGGTTAGAAAAATACTCATGATCTTATCCTAGAATGGAGGATACTAGCGTGACCCTTTATTTAAAGATGTCTATAGAGGGTGACCTCTGACTTCAAAGATGGCTTAATGTTAATACTTGAGTGTTGCTTATTAACTTTTTAATTTAAGCCATTTGAGATCATTTTGTAAGATTGATATTTTCTCTGATAACAAAGGAAAGGCATATTCATGATAGAAAGTTATGAAAACATAAAGATATACAAAGAAGAAAATAAAAATTACCCACAATTCTTTCTACTCCTTAAAATAACTGTTGACATTTTAGAGTATCTAATTCCAGGCTTTTCTTATACATAAATATACACACGTAAGTGTTACAAAAGGAAAGTACAGCTTTTATCAGCTTTTTAAAAAAACTACTAGTATATATAGTGAATATTTTTCCTTGTTTTAAATTGTTTCTACAATTTGAATAGCATTTTAACATGTCATTGTCCCCAAGTTTATTTATGCAGTCTCTTTTTGTTGGATATTTATATTTTTCCAAGTTTTCGCAGTTATAAAGGGCTCTGAAATTAATACCTTTGCAGATATATATATATATATATATATATATATATTTTTTTTTTTTTTTTTTTAAGACAGAAGTTTGCTCTTGTTGCCCAGGCTGGAGTGTAATGGTGCGATCTGGGCTCACTGCAACCTCCACCTCCTGGGTTCAAGCGATTCTCCTGCTTCAGCCTCCCTAGTAGTAGGGATTACAGGCCCCTGCCACCACGCCCAGCTAATTTTTGTATTTTTAGTAGAGACGGGGTTTCACCATGTTGGCCAGGCTGGTCTCAAACTCCTGATCTTAGGTGACCTGCCCGCCTCGGCCTCCCAAAGTGCTGGGATTACAGGCGTCAGCCACTGTGCCCGGCCAATAAATCTTTTTTTAAGAAACTTTTATTTTAGGTTCAGGGGTACATGTGCAGCTTTGTTATAGAGGTTAATTGCTTGTCATGGGTGTCTGGTGTACAGGTTATCACCAAGTAGTAAGCACAGCACATGATAGGTAGTTTTTTGGTCCTCTCCCTCCTCCTAGGGAGAAATAGCCACACTGCTATCCACAGTGGTTGAACTAATTTATATTCCCACCACCGTCAAGTTGGCCCCAGTGTCTATTGTTCCCTCGTTTGTGTCCATGTGTACTCAGTGTTTAGCTCTCACTTATAAGTGAGAACATGCAGTATTTGGTTTTCTATTCCTGAGTTAATTCGTTTAGCATAATGGCTTCCAGCTCCACCCATGTCGCTGCAAAGGACATGATCTCATTCTTTTTTTATGACTGTGTAGTGTTCTATGGTGTATATGTACCACATTTTCTTTACCCAGTCTACTCTTGATGGGCATTTAGGTTGATTCTGTGTCTTTGCTATTGTGAATATTGCTGCAGTGAACACATGTGTGCGTGTGTCTTTATGGTAGAATGATTTTTATTCTTTTGGGTATGTACCCAATAATGGGATTGTGGGGTCAAAAGGTAGTTCTGTTTTAAGTTCTTTGAGAAATTGCCAGACTGCTTTCCACAATGGTAGAACTAATTTACATTCCCATCAGCAGTGTATAAGGGTTTCCTTTTCTCTGCAACCTTGTCAGCATCTGTCATTTTTTGACTTTTTAATCATAGCCATTCTGACTAGTGTAAGATGGTATCACATTGTGGTTTGGAATTGCATTTCTCTAAGTAGTGATGTTGAGAGTTTTTTTTTCATATGCTTGTTGGCTGTGTGTATGTCTTCTGAAAAGTGTCTGTTCCTGTCCTTTGACCACTTTTTTTTTTTTTTTTGAGACGGAGTCTTGCTCTGTAACCCAGACTGGAGTGCAGTGGCGTGATCTCGGCTCACTGCAACCTCCGTCTCCTGGGTTCCAGTGATTTTCCCACCTCAGCCTCCTGAGTAGCTGGGATTACAGGCACGTGCCACCATACCTGGCTAATTTTTTGTATTTTTAATAGAGACAGGGTTTTGCCATGTTGGCCAGGCTGGTCTGGTACTCCTGACTTCAAGTGATCCGCCCACCTCGGCCTCCCAAAGTGCAGGGACTAGAGGCGTGAGCCACCGCTCCCACCCCTTTGACCACTTTTTAATAGGGGGTTGTTTGACTTTTGCTTGTTAATTTGTTTAAGTTCCCTACAGATTCTGGATATTAGACTTTTGTTGGATGTATAGTTTGCAAAATTTTTCTCCCATTCTGTAGGTTATTTAATCCATTGATAGTGTCTTTTGCTGTGCAGAAGCTCTTTAGTTTAACTAGATCCCATTTGTCAATTTTCGTTTTTGTTGTAATTGCTTTTGGCATCTTTGTTATGAAATCCTTGCCAGGGCCTATGTCCAGAAGGGTATTTCCTAGGTTATCTTCCAGGGTTTTTAGGTTTTAGGTTTTACATTTAAGTCTTTGCTGAACTTGTTTATTCATCTTGAATAGATTTTCCTTTATGGTTATAAGGAAGGGGTCCAGTTTCAACCTTTTGCATATGGCTAGCCAGTTATCCCAGCATCATTTATTGAATAGGAAGTCCTTTCCCCATTGTTTGTTTTTGTCAACTTTTTCAAAGATCAGACTTGTGGATGTGTGTGTGACATTATTTCTGGGCTCTCTATTCTATTCCATTGGCCTATGTGTCTGTTTTTGTACCAGTATCATGTTTTGGTTACTTGTAGCCTTGTAGTACAGTTTGAAGTCAAGTAATGTGATGTCTCCAGCTTTGTTCTTTTTGCTTAGCATTGCCTTGGCTATTTGAGCTCTTTTTTTGTTGCATATGGATTTTAAAATAGTTTTTTTCTAAAAAACTATTTTGTGAAGAATGTCATTGGTAGTTTCATAGGAATAACATGGAATCTGTAAATTAGTTTGGGCAGTATGGCCATTTTAACAATATTGATTCTTCCTATCCATGAGCACGGAATGTTGTTCCATTTGTTTATGTCATCTCTGATTTTTTGAGCAGTGTTTTATAAATCTCATAGTAGAGATCCTTCACCTTTCTTGTTAGTTGTATTCCTAGGTATTTTATTCATTTTGTGACTATTGTGAATGGGATTGCATTCTTGATTTGGCTCTCAGCTTGGACATGGTTGGTGTATAGAAATGCTACTGATTTTTGTACATTGATTTTGTATTAATATCTTGAAACTTTGCTAAAGTTGTTTATCACATCTAGGAGCTTTTGGGCAGAAACTATGAGATTTTCTAGGAACAGAATAGATAAATCTTTTTGAAGCGACTGTGTTGTCTGGGGTATATACCCTGGGGTTCATTGTCATGGGCCAGGAAAATTTAAGACATGGACACACACAAGGTGGAGGTTCAATAGGCAGAAGAGAAGAGAAGAGAAGGAGAAACAGCTCTCTCTATAAAGAAAGGGGTCTCCAAGCAGAAAAGACCAGCTGGTGGTGAATGTGCCAGATTTTATAGTCCAGTTTGAGGAGGTGGTGTCTGATTTACACAGGGCTCATAGATTGGTTCCATCAGGTATGACTTTTACATACTGCATAGGTAATAAGCCTGGTCTCCCACACTAATCTTATTATGCAAATGGGCTTTCTAGTTGATCGGAGCCATCTTGTCTGCTCCTTACTGTACACGTGGCTGACAAAGAGAAGGGAAGATGGAGCCGCCATCTTGAACATGTCTAGTCCCTAGTTCCCGCTGGCATTCACCTGTGCAAGCTCCCAGCTTGCTTGTTTATGTCTACAACTTGACTTTACGGGCTGCTCTTTGTTAGAAAATGATTTGGGGCTGCTTTTCATTAAAAATAAAAGCCTTACTGCGTTCTCCCATACACTTACTATCTGCCTAAATAATTTCTTCTTAACTTCTCTATAATTTTTACACAGCCTTGATTGTTTCCTAAGGCAGGTTCCATAAGGGACTTTGTTTTGTTCACTGCTAAACCCCTGATTCCTAGAATGGTGCTTGGCACATAGTCAGGGCTTAAATATTTGTTGAACGAATGAATAAATTTTACAAGTTTATGCAGTAGGTTGAAGGATATGCCCATATTTAGATCTTTTGATGCATGTTGCCAAATTGTCCTACAAAAGATAGCATCAGGTTTTATTTCTACCAGCTGCATGTTGATGTCAGTTTTCCAGAATCCTCACTGACACCTCTGTATAAGATAAAATAATTGGGCCGGGCGCCATGGCTCACGCCTGTAATCCCAGCACTTTGGGAGGCTGAGGCGGGCAGATCACAAGGTCAGGAGATTGAGACCGCGGTGAAACCCCGTCTCTACTAAAAATACAAAAAATTAGCTGGGCATGGTGGCGGGTGCCTGTAATCCCAGCTACTCCGGAGGCTGAGGCAGGAGAATTGCGTGAACCCGGAAGGCAGAACTTGCAGTGAGCTGAGATTGTGCCACTGCACTCCAGCCTGGGCAACAGAACGAGACTCCATCTCAAAAACAATAAATAAATAAAAAAGATAAAATAATTTTGGTTGCAGTTGCGAAAAATCCTAACTCGCACTGACTTAAATGATATAAGGAATTTATCATCTCCTGATATGGTTTGGATATGTTCCCCCTCCAGATCTCACGTTGAAATGTGATTTCCAATGTTGGAGGTGGAGCCTGGTGGGAGATGATTGGATCATGGAGGCAGAGCCTTCATGAATGGCTTAGCACCATCTTCTTGGTGATCAGTGAGTTCTTGCTCAGTTAGTTCATGCCAGATCTAGTTGTTTAAAAGAGTCTGGGACCTCGCCCCTCTCTCTCTCTTGCTCCCATTCTTGCCGTGTGATACCCTGGCTCCCCTTCACCTTCTGCCATGATCATAAGCTTCCTGAGGCCTCACCAGAAGCCAGGCAGATGTTGGTGCCATGCCTGTACAGCATGGCAGTTTTTGGTTATTTTTTTTTTTTTTTTTAGAAATTATGTAGTCTCAGGTATTTCTTTATAGCAATGCAAAAAAACAGACTAACACATCTGTTGTAATTGCAAAGTCCAGAGGAAGGGCAGGCTTTAGGTGTGGTTTGAGTGCAAGGGTCATGTTGTTAAGACCGTGGCTCTGTTTGCTGGGATGCTCTGGCTTCTCATTGTTGATTTTGCTCCTAAGCCAACTCCCTCAAGGTAGCAAGAGGCTCCCAGAAGCTCCCAGGACCACGAGCTTCCATGAGGGTGGTGGGGATGGTGGTCAGGTGTTCTTTTCGTTCAATTATTAGACAAAAGTCTGATGTTCCTTTGGATTGTATCAATTTATGTTGCTAGCTCATTCTTGAGCCAATCTAAGAGGCCAAGGGAATGTGATAGCTGATTGGCTTGGGACTGGGTTCTATTCTGTTTTGTCATCATGGGATAAATTCCATGGGCACAGGGGTTGAAATGACACTGGTCGACCCATGATGACCCATCCCTGGAACTGAGGGTGAGATGAACCCCACCAAACCCTGTGGTTGTGAGATTCTGAGTTTTTTGGGGAAGAGGAAATGGTAGAGGAAAAGCTTTGGAAACAATAAAAAGCTACACTAAATATTTGCATTTAATTTTTAAATATATTTATATGTATATATATAAAATATAGATGTAAAATGCTCTCTTTTTGTTTTTTTTAACATGTCTCTGAAACCATTTGTTTTTCTTTTGCGAGCTGCCCTTTGTTTTTTTTCTTCAATTTGCAAAAATACTTTAAAGAGCTGTTTTGATAGACGCATGGCATGTAACTCAAATATCCAGTCCAATCCCTCATTTTGGAATTGAGAAAACTGAAGCCTAGAGATAAATGGCTTCCAAAAGGTGATGCATCTGGCAAAGGACTCAACAGGGATTCAGATGAGCTTGGCTTACCTTTTAAAGCACGATTTGTTAAATGTAGATGTAACTTAGATATATTCAGTTGCACAAATTTAAATATGTAGCTTGGTGTTTTTACATAGATGTTCACCATGTAACCACTACCAGATCAAGTTGCAGACCATTCCATCAACCAGAAGATTCTTCTGTGCCCCTTCCCAATCAATAACCACTTTCCTTACACACACACACACACACACACACACACACACACACACACACACTATTCTGACTTCCATCATCATAGGTTAGTTTTTACCTGTTCTTGACTTCCATATAAATGAAATAATAGAGTAGTTACTCTATTTTGTTTGTCTTTTTTTGCTCAACTCACAATCATAGTTGGGAGATGTTAACATCTCTTTCTCAGCAATTGAAGGAAATAAGATTAAGCACAGGGAAAACTCTATCTGCAATGCAGTCTCAATAGAGTCTTCAGCCAGTTACTATGGGGAGTTTTGAAGCTGGGATGACCCTTGGGAGTGGAGAGAGCTGTGCCTTTTTCCTGCTCTCATTCATCAGTCATTGAAGTGGGCCAACACATGAAGGAGGCATGACCTTGGACAATGCAGCTCTCTTCAGCCAGTTTATTCTCCATGTGAGGCTGACAGCAGAAGGCTTCCTGCTGGTAGCTCTTCCAGCACCTGGGAAAAAAAGTCCATTCCTGAAGGGGAATCTGGGCAATGCATCACAGTTTCCATCACACACTACTCTTTGTGCCTCTTGGATTTACTTCTTCATATAAGTTATGGGAGCAACCCTTCCAGGGCTCTTGTGCTCCTTTTCTTGAGGGAACTTAGAAGGATAGTGGAATAAACTGTAACCTCTACTGCTCCAGGTGGTTTTGGGCCTGCAACTGATACTCATCTTCACGATCCGTTCTAAATTCCTGTCATCCTTAGCTAGCATACCTCCTGGTCTCAGTGATTTGCTTAGTCATGTGTATGTATCAGTCAAGATTCTTCAGAGAAACAGAACCAATAGGAGATCTCTTTCTCTCTCTTTCCCTCTTCAGAGAGAAGGGTCGGGGAGGAGACTGATTTATTTTAAGGAATTGACTCATGGAATTGGGAGCTGGCAAGTCTGAAATCTACAGGGGAGGCCAGCAAGCAGGAAACTCAGGCAGGATTTTTTCCATTGTAATATTGAGGCAGAATTCCTTCTTTTCTGGGAAATCTCAGATTTGCTGTCAAGGCCTTCAAATGATTAGATGAGGTCCACCTCTATTATTGAGAATAAGCTCCTTTACTGAAAGTCGACTGATTGTAAATGTGAATCACATCTACAAAATGCCTTCACAGCAACATCTAGAATGGTGTTTGACCAAACAAATGAGCACCATGGCCTAAGCCAAGTTGATACAGAAAATTAACCATCACAGGATGTAACCTAGACCCTCAATCCTGAGAGGTATGGACCCCTGCTTGCCATGCCCTTCTCATGATGGAGCTGCTGCACTTCTGCTTTCATTGTCAAAATAAGACGAGGGAATACCAAGAAGCATCCATGTGGATCATGGGAGTGTCAAATCTATTCCTGCCTCACAGTATAAAGCACCCCAAGGTTCTTCTGATGACTGGGGTAATTACCTCTGTCAGGATGGTGACTCTTGCCTGCTGGTCCCTGGACATAAGGAGCTTGAAGTGCCCAGGTGGCAGTTGTACCTTACAGTTCCATTTGACTCTTGCTGTGTCTTCTGGCAAAATAATTATCTTTTGGGGACTAGGACCTCTAAACTTACTGAGCCCAGAATTGCAGGTGCAGAAGGCACAGACTGGCCAGAGTCACTGGGGGGGTGATGGAAGAAGGGGCACTCTTAATTTCATTCATTGGTTCTTAGACGTATTCCTTCCACCTATTGAGAGCTGTGGTATACTAAATAATAAATATTTGGTCTTTGTCCTTAGTTTGTGGCAAGGTGCTCCTAAAACTCTTGGAATTTACTGTCTTTTGTGTGCTAATGAGATAGCTTCAGGATGGGGCTGGTTACCTGAAAAACCAACCACAGTGTGGGAGGGTTAGAACTTTCAGCCCCACCTTCCAACCTGGGAGGGGAGAAGGACTGGAGATTGAGTTCAATCACCAGTGGCCAATGATTTAATCAATTATGCTTACATAATGAAACCTCCATAAAAACCCCTAAGTGACAGGTTCAGGGAGCTTCAGGGTTGGTGAACACATTATTGTGCTGGCAGGGTGGCACACATGGAGACGGCAACCCCACCCCAGCCCCTCCATGCTTTGCCCTATTCATATACAAGTGTTTCATTTGCTGGCCTCGGAGTTATATCCTTTATAATAATCTAGTAATCATAAATAAAACACTTTCCTGAGTTCTATGAGTCATTCTTGTGAATTATTGAATCCAAGGGGAACCTCTGAATTTGTTGTCAACTGGGCAGCAGTGTGGGGTGCCTCGGGCTCCTGCTTGAGGCTGGTGTCCGAAGTAGGGCCAGTCTTGTGACTCTGAGCCCTTAATCTGTGGGGTCTGCACTAACTGTGGGTAGTTAGTGTCAGAATTTAATTAAATTATTGGACACCTAGTTGGTGTCAGAGTTGGAGAATTGCTTGTTGGTCTTGGAAAAGACATCACACATTTGGTATCAGAAAAAAACGTGGAGCTATAAATCACGGCATAAGGGTCATTGACTGAAAGCATACACCGTGTTCTGTAGGATGATGACTCAGTTTTGCCAGGCATCACCTCTGAGAGCACCAGGAGAGAGAGAGAGAGAGAAGGGGGAGAAGCTACATATTTTCAAACAACCAGATCTTGTGAGAGCTCTACCACAATAACAGCAAGGGGGCTGTGCGTTCAACAGATGATTCTGTCCTCGGGCCAGTAGCTTCTGTGTAGTGAGGTATATGACATGACCAGTAGATTCTATGGTCACGTGTTCAATCTCATACTCCCTTTATTATAAAGTGGATCCCCTGGCTTATTGCAATGTTATACGAGGTTCTGTGCTGGTGCCAATACTGCTCCCTATGGGCAGAAAAGGCCAACTCTCTCCCCAAAAGATATTTATACTTGTCAAAGTCTCTGCTCCTTCCTGAGTAAAAGGAGGCCAATATAGAAGGTAGACAACTTGCTACCAAGGGACTGGTTGGTCCCATCGAGGAGTGGGGATTGATTGTGGAACCAGCAGTGGCCTTTGCTGCCGGCAGGTTAGTCATCATATCAGCCTTGGTCAGAGCTGTAAGGCCTGTGTGTAGCCTCCACCCCTGCTACCATGGTGACTGATATGGTTTGGCTCTGTGTCTCCACCCAAATCTCATGTCAAATTGTAATTCCCAATTTTGGAGGTGATTAAATTCCCTGGTGGGAGGTGACTGAATCATGGGTATGGACTTCCCCCTTGCTGTTCTTGTCGTAGAGTTCTCATGAGATCTGGTTATCTGAAAGTGTGTAGCACCTCCTCCTCCTCTCTCTCTTTCTCTCCTGCCAGCCATGTAAAAATGTTCTTGCTTCTCCTTCACTTTCTGCCATGATTGTTAAGTTTCCTGAGGCCTCCCCAGTCATGCCTCCTGTACAGTCTGTGGAACTGTGAGTCAATTAAACCTCTTTTCTTTGTAAACTACCCAGTCTCAGGTCGTTGTTTATAGCAGTGTGAGAACATACTAATACGGTGACCATGTTTATGTACCCATTGTGCCAGCCTTGGTGTGGCTGATGACAGAAGCTGTCAATATCAACTATTCAAGCTATTTTGGGGCAGTTATATTCTGATTGGCATTAACATGTGCTATAAAGATCTTCACACTTTGTGCCCAGTGTTATATCTCTATCCTTATGCTTCTTCTCTCGACTTGTTGGTTCCTGATCTTCCTGTCTTTCTTCTTCCTAGTCTCTGACCAGATGACCAAATGATGCCAGCCACCTATCTACATATATTCTTACCTTGCACCACTTATTTTTCTGCACAAAGGTGGATAGCCTAGTCCACTGCCTGAGCTGTATACAATGGGAGGATTTCGCTCCACTGCTGTCTTTTTTTTTTTTTTTTTTTTTTTTTTGAGACGGAGTCTCGCTCTGTCGCCCAGGCTGGAGTGCAGTGGCGTGATCTCGGCTCACTGCAAGCTCCACCTCCCGGGCTCACGCCATTCTCCTGCCTCAGCCTCCCAAGTAGCTGGGACTACGGGCGCCCACCACTACGCCCGGCTAATTTTTTGTATTTTTAGTAGAGACGGGGTTTCACGGTTTTAGCCAGGATGGTCTCGATCTCCTGACCTCGTGATCCGCCCGCCTCGGCCTCCCAAAGTGCTGGGATTACAGGCGTGAGCCACCGCACCCAGCCACTGCTGTCTTTCAAGGCTGCCTCCGAATGGGGTTGTAGTGGAGATATCATCTATTTTTTGCTTCCCCATGTAATAGGCTGGCCTACTATGAACCAGGCTGGGGCTTCTTCCTTTTCTGGCAGCTGGTTCTAAAGGATTAAGCCACTGGACACCGTGTGCTGAAGGAGAAGTGCTCGTTCCATGGTGGAGGGGGACATAGAGTCTGCAGCAGCTGTGTGGACAGCTTGCTTGTGCCCTCTGGTTCTGCTTGTGCACTTCTGGGTGGAACACTTCCACTTTGTGATGAATTGTTGGGCTTGTTCACCTTTAGAACTTGGTAGCTCTGACAGAGTCCAGCTCATGATGTGGAATTACGGTTGCCTGGTCATTTAGTGTCCCATGGCCAGGCCCTCTGTCTCTACCAGAACCCAAGAGTGTGCCAAGGGCCTTTTTATGAAAGGTGTGTTAATATCTGCTGCAACTGGCATCAGTGTGCTCTGGAACCCTAGGGTTACAGTATGTTGTAATCCTCTAAGTCCTCTTAGGAGGACTTCCCATAAACCCCACATAGTATCTTTTCCCACCACTGATAGCTCTAATGTAATAACACAGGGGCTGTCAGGGTGTATGGCCCAAGTGATAAGACTGTTTGCATCACAGCCTGGACTTGATGTTGTGTCCTTTCCTGCTTTCAACCCCACTGAAAGCTTGTTGCTTTCATCTTACCTGTTAAATGGGTGGGAGAAATATTCCTAGGCATAGAATATCTGCCTCTATGACCCAAAGAGGCCCACCAGGCATTATGGTTTCTTCTTAGTTGTAGGAGGTGGGAGATGCAATAATTCATCCTTACTTTGGAGGGGATACTTAAAAATTTTACTGATGTGGGTGGACCCTGAATATTCATAGGTTTTATGTCCTACCTTCTGAAGTCCATGTGTAATACCAAGGTCTCCACTTCTTCCTCAGTTGGTCCAATTAGCATGATGTCATCAATATACTGGATAAATGGGATGTTCTCTTTGGCCATTATTTTGTCAGAAACAATTTTGGGGGGCCTCATTTTCATTTAATTCCCCTTCTGGGAATTTAATTATATGTATGTTACATTATCTTAAATATTATCCCACAAATCTCAGAGGCTATGTTCTTTTTTTCTTTGGAATTTTTTTCTCTGTTTTTCAAGTTAACGATTTTTATTGATCTATCTTAAAGTTCACTAATTATTTATTCTGCTATCTCCAATCTGCTATTAAACCAAACGAGCAATTTTTAAATTTCAATTTATTATATTTTCTACAATAGAATCATTCTGTAAACGTTTTAATTTCTCTGCTTAGATTTTCTGTCTGTTTACTCATTAAGACCATATTTGGCTGGGCACGGTGGCTCACGCCTGTAATCCTAGCACTTTGGGAGGCTGAGGTGGGTGGATTGCCTGAGCTCTCCGGAGTTCGAGACCAGCCTGGGCAACATGCTGAAATCCAGTCTTTACTAAAAAATACAAAAAAATTAGCCGGGCGTGGCGGTGTGTGCCTATAGTCCCAGCTACTCGGGAGGCTGAGGCAGGAGAATTGCTAGAAACCCGGAGGTGAAGGTTGCAGTGAGCAAAGATCACGCCACTGCACTCCAGCCTGGGTGGCAGAGTGAGAGTCTGTCAAAACAAATGAACAAACAAACAAACCAAAAACATATTTTTCTTGTATTTTTTGACCATATTTATAAGACTGCTTAGTTATTTTCTGTTAAACCAATATCTGGGCCATCTCAGGGTTGGTTTGTATAAACTGCTTTTTTTTTTTCCTGACTATTACTTATTTTTTGCCATGTATAGTAATTTTTTTAAATTAAAAATATTCTTTGGACAAAGTTAAGAGATCTGTGGCTTTAAAAAAAAAGAAAAAGAAAACACACACAAAACAATAATGGCCTTTGACAATTATACATTAGAGATAATTTGGACATTGTTTTGTTTCTCTAAAGAGCGTTGACTTTAGTACTGTGTGGAGTTAAGTTACTACCTGAGCTGTATGAGGGTTTGGTTTTACATTTTGTTTAGATAGAACCATGGAGGTATTTTCCAAGCCTCAATAATTTGGTAAGACTAAACATACAAACTCTCTCTTCCCTGAAGAGCTTGTCTGGACATGGTTTTAGGCTTTTTTGGGAAGGGTCTAGAAAAGAACTTAATCTGTTGAATCCTGGCATGAGGTATCGATGAGTTATTAGCTGGACTGAAATTTCAGTGTTCTGCAGCACTTGTTTGTCCTCTTGTATCTTTTTTCCAAAACAGCCACTCTTTGGCAAGTCTCAGGTAGTCTTGCCCTGTATCCCTTAGCCAAGGACTTCTAGGGGGAACCCCCACGTTTCTCCCCAACTCCTGCCTCTCAAGGATCCCTTCTCCCTGGTGCCCTGCCTCACAAATTTTAGGCACTTCATCTTCCCCAAACTTCCCGACTCCTCATCTCAGCAAGACCGCCAAGCTCTGCTGAGACTCCAATTCGCTGTGCCACGGTCAGGAATTAGTTCCCAAATAGAAAGCTAGGGCAATCAAAATAGTCAGCTCAGAGTTTTTCTTCCTTCAGGAATTTTTGTCTTGTGCTGTCCATTGCCAAATGCCTGAACACAGCGACTTCATATATTTTGCCTAGTATTATATTATTTTTTTTTTTTTGAGACGGAGTCTTGCTCTGTCGCCCAGGTGGTGCGATCTCGGCTCACTGCAAGCTCCGCCTCCTGGGATCATGCCATTCTCCTGCCTCAGCCTCCCTAGTAGCTGGGACTACAGGCGCCCGCCACCACACCCGGCTAATTTTTTGTATTTTTAGTAGAGACGGGGTTTCACTGTGTTAGCTAGGATGGTCTCGATCTCCTGACCTCGTGATCCGCCCACCTTGGCCTCCCAAAGTGCTAGGATTACAGGCATGAGCCACCGCGCCCGGCCTATATTAATAATTGTTTACAGAGGGAGGGCTACTCCATTACAATTAACTTTCCATAGCAGAAGCAAAAGTCTATATACTATAAGTTTATTTTAAAAATTTTGCAGCTATATGGTGATAAAGTTGATTTATAGTCAATCATAACCACACACATTTAAAATGTACAGTTTGATGCATTTTGGCATATAAGTGCACACACACACCCACATACACATGTGAAGTTATCACCACCATCAAGACGATTAATATTTCCAGTACCCCAAAAGTTACCTCGTGCCTCTTAGTAATCCCTAGCTTCTGTCCCTCCCTATCCCCAGGTGACCAATGATCTGCTTGCTGTCACTATTAGTTTGATTTCTAGAATTTTACAGAAAAGGAATAATAGGGTATGTCCTCTTTTATTGTCTGATTCCTTTCAACACAATAATTTTGAAATTTACTTATGTTGTGTATATTAATAGTTTATAACTTAATTTCTAAGTAGTATTCTCTTGTAGGCATGTAGCACAATTTATTTATCCACTCACCTGTCAATGGACCTTTGGGTTGTTTCTAGTTTGGCCTATTCAAAATAAGTCTGCTGGAAACATTTATGTACAGGTCTTAGCAAGGACATATGTGTTCACTACTCTTTGATAAACATCTAGGAGTAGAATGGCTGTGTCATAAGGTAGGCATACTTTTAACTTTTTAGGAAACTGCCAAACTTATGCATCTTATACATTTTGATATGTTGTATTTTCATTGTCATTCATCGTTAAATGTTTTCTATTTTTCATGTGATTTTTTTTAACCTATGGTTTATTGAGAAGTATGTTGCTTGATTTTCAAACATTTGGAAATTTTCTAGTTATCTTTATATTTTGGGTTTTATTTGATTCCACACAGCGGTGAGAGACATACATTGTATGATTTAAATCCGTTGACCATCTGAAATTTGTTTAAACTTATCTATTGCCCAGAGTATGTTCTATTTTAATAAAAATTTTATGAGCACTTGAAAGTGGGACATATCTTACAATTACTGTAGCATGTTCTACATATGTTAATTAGGTCAAATTGTTAATTGTTGTCAAAAACATCTATAGCTTTATTGATTTTTGTGTGTGTGTGTGCTTATTCTGTCAGTTACTAAGAAAGGTTTGTTAAAATCTCCAATTATTACTATGGATTTTTCTGTCTCTCCTTTTATTCCTGTCAGTTTTTCTTTTATATATATTTTTTGAGAGAAGATCTCGCTTTGCCACCCATTGGAGTACAGTGGGGTGAACACTGCTCACTTCAGCCTCAACCTCCTGAGCTCAAGTGATCCTCCCACCTCAGCCCTCCAAGTAGCTGGGACTACAGGAGTGTGCCACCACACCTGGCTAACTTTTGTACTTTTTGTAGAGATGAGAGTTTTGCCACATTGCCCAGGCTCATCTTGAACTCCTGAGCTCAGCCAATTTGCCTGCTTCAGCCTCCCAAAGTTCTGGGGTTACAGATGTGAGACATCGTGTCCAACCTGAAGCTATGTTATGAAGTACATATATATTTATGATTCTTTTCTGTTGAACTGATCTTTTCATTTTTTTGAACTGTCTCTATTGCTCATAATAATGTTTACCTTAAAATCTATTTTGTATGACATTAATAGAGCCACAGCAGCTTTAAGTCAGTTTGCATGAAACATCTTTTTCCATTTTTATTCTGAATCTGTCTTGATATTTACTGGATATTTCTTGCAAATAGCTTTTCATCTCTTTTACTCTTTTATATCCAGTCTGATATTTTAGTGTTTTAATTTAGTGTTTAGTGTTTAATCTTTAGTGTTCAGTGCTTTAATTTAGTGCTTTAGTAAAGTATTTAGTTGAGTTAGTGGAGTATTTAGTCTATTTAAATTTATTATTGATATAGTTGGATTTAAATCTACCAACTTGTCTTCTATTTGTTGTATCTGATTTCTATTCTTTTATTTCTTCTTTTCTTTTCTTATTCCATTATATTTCCTCTATTAACTTTTTTTTATTATAACATTTTTCTTCTGATGGTTACTGTAGAAATTATAAAATGTGGCTGGGCGCAGTGGCTCACGCCTGTAATCCCAGCACTTTGGGAGGCCGAGGCAGGTGGATCACCTCAGGTCAGGAGTTCCAGACCAGCCTGGCCAACATGGTGAAACCTCGTCTCTACTAAAAATACAAAAATTAGCCGGGCATGGTGGCGGGCACCTGTAACCCCAGCTACTTGGGAAGCTGAGGCAGGAGAATCGCTTGAACCCAGGAGGTGGAGATTGCAGTGAGCTGAGATTGCACCACTACACTCCAGCCTGGGTGACAGAGTAAGACTCTGTCTCAAAAAAAAAAAAAATGAAATTATAAAATGCATTTATAATTTATTGCAGTCTACCTTAAAATGGTACTATATCACATCTTGCAAAATGTAGAAATCCTTAACTACATTTATCTCCTACATGTTTTGCTGTTTTTAAAAATATATTTTACTTAGATATATACTTCAAACTACATAAAACTTTATTATTATCATTTTAAATGGTTATGAGCCTTTTATGTTTATACTCTCTGGTGTTTTTCTTTTTTTTTTTTTTTTTTGCACTTCTGTGCTCTCATTTGTAACAATTTATTTTATTTTGAAGACTTTCTTTAACTGTTTTTTGTAGGACTAGTGTGCCCATGATATATTTGCTTAAACTTTGTTTTCTTAAAAGTCTTATGTCATTTTCATTTATTAGGGATATTTTCTCTGATACAACCTGGAATTCAAGGTTAGTAGTTAATTTTTTCCTTTGGCACTTCAATGATGTCTTCTGGCTTCAATGGTTTATATCAAGAAATCCTCTGTCCTTATTTATTTTTCCTTGAGAGTCATATGTGTGTGTGTGTGTGTGTGTGTGTGTGTATATATATATATATATTTTTTTTTAAACTGCTTTTGAGATTTTTCTTTTTGTTTATTTATATTTAGTTTTCAGCAGTTCGACCATGAAGTGCCTACTTGGGGTTTTGTGTTTCTCCTGTTGGATTTTTTTGAACTTCTGGAATTTATGACTTTTATTTGTAAAATGATGTATTATTTCCTTAAAAATTTTCATATTTTATTCTCTGTTTCTTCTCTGTTGAGAGGAAATACTGCATTTCCCCTCAAATGGCATGTATGTTAGATCTTTTAATTATGTCCCCGATCTCTTTTATTCTTTGTGCTTTTTTTACTTTTTTCACTCTATCATTTGGTTCACCTGTCTTTGAGTTCCCCAAGGCTGTTTTCTGTTGTGTTCTGTTACACACATCAAGTGACTTCTAATTTTAGATATTATATTTTGCAGTTCTAGAATGTTCATGTAACACTTCTATGAATTATAATCCTCCACTAAAATATTTCATATTTTATCTATTTTGTCTGTTTTCTTTTCTTTTTAAAAATTTAATGTTTGTAGGGCTGGGCACAGTGGCTCATGCCTGTAATCTCAGCACTTTGGGAGGTTGAGGTGGGTGGATCACAAGGTCAGGAAATCGAGACCATCGTGGTCAACATGATGAAACCCCGTCTCTACTAAAAATACAAAAGATTACCCGGGCGCGGTGATGTACACCTGTAATCCCAGCTACTCGGGAGGCTGAGGCAGGAGAATCACTTGAACTTAGGAGGTGGAGGTTGCAGTGAGCCGAGATTGCGCCACTGCCCTCTAGCCTGAGTGACAGAGCGAGACCCTGTCTCAAAATAAAATAAAATAAAATAAAATAAAATAAAATAAAATAAAATAAAATAAAATAAATATTAACCTGTTTTTAATCAAACATGTCTTGAGACCTGCAGTGTACCAATTAGTGTACTTATTATGTTGGATTTTCATGTAAACTTTTGCCAAAAATGCAGGTGATATCTCTCTGTGTGTAAGTTACATATTTATGCAGAAAAAATATATCAGAATAAATAAATATCTTCTTCACACTAAACTTTTGCTAAGGCCAAAAGATGAAGAAACTGTCAGTTTTAATGAGAATTTGGAATGCAGAGGCAGTTAAAAAAATCATGGACTCCTTGAAGTCAGCTTCCACATCTACTCCCTTACCCATCAGTTTCTGGGAAAGTTTGTATAAAGTCGATTGTAATATCTCACAGTTTCAGCCAACAGCATATTTGTATTAATCACAATGCTCAGGAACAGTTTAAATGAGCTTAAGTCAACATTAGGAGGCCAAATTATAATGCAAATGTATCTCTCAGGAGATCTGTAGGCTCAATGTATAAATCTTCACTGCCTCTGAATTCTTTTTCCCTTCTTCAAAGATGTGTAGGTTTGTTCTCTGCAAATGTAGTTCTTGGGCTCCAAGCACGGAAATTTTACGCTTATTGATAAGCCTCATGAGTGATTTTATGCACTTGCAACTATGGCCTTGGTGTACATATGTGAATTTTTTAAGGACAGATGGGAAGGAGGAACCAGAAGTGTTTCATAAGGCCATGCACATCCTCTCGCTCTGTCTACACCAAGACTGGACTGAGATGGGGCATGAAAATGGGAGTATATCAGTTTCTAGATGGGTGGCTTTGTCAGAATACCCCACAGTGCTTTACCTTGGCATGGCTTCACGCTCTTTCCACATGAAACTTTCTAGGCCTTGAAAATGTTCCAGATGTTTTTTCTCTGACATTTGAATATTTCTCTTTCCTCACCCAGCAATATTCCTGCATAACTACAGGTATATATGCTTGTTGTGAGAGGCATGCCAGAAATCTGGAACAGAACCTAGAAGGGAAAAACAGAAGAGACAGCGTAGCGACCAGTTGATGAAGTGCAGGAGTGTCAATTAAGGAAAGCAGGCAGTCTATCTATATGCTTCAAGTACTCCATTTAGAAAGCAATTCAGCAGGCTCTGCCAAAGAGACAAGTGCCAATAAATTAACTAAAAAGCATACCGAAGAGTCAAAACACAATCAGGGTTTCTGTCATTTTCTTGCAGTGATTCCGAAGGGCTCTTGTGCAAAGCAAGGAATCTTTCTGTACTATGTTTTAAATCTGCTGAACAGTGAAAGCAATGTATACACATGTATATATGTATACTTAGGATTAAGATATAATATCTATTTCTTTCTGTTTACAAAGTAAAGTAATTCATCTGATTATTCTCACAAAACATAGTGAAATAACCCAAACATGTTATGGAAATTATTTTGGTTTATCTGTTCTGTTTCTATTTATACTACACTGCATGAAAATACTTGGCCCCCTTTGTATATGGAACAGTGTCATTTTCAACTTACACTGAGAACTCATCTCAGTATAGGATATGTTAATTAAAGCAGTGTTTCTTCTAACTTAAAAGGACAATTCAAGTGATGAATCAGTGGTATAAAAGTTATTTAAGCTAAGTAACTAACTGCACAGTTGGATATTTTTCTAATCTTTGGGAGATGTTTACTGAGATGTTTTCCCTCTACAGCTTGAAAAATGATTTTTTAGTCTAATTTTAATTCTAATTTCAACTTTTCTTTTCCTTTGTCTTTCACACTTAATGGGTGAAAAACTATCATTTTTATTTTTTCTTTTTTACCAAATAAAGACCAACAAGTAATTTCACATAGAAAAAGCAAATAAATATTTTCTTAGGCTGCCTTATACTTTGCAAGAAATAATGTAATTCTATATATCAAAATAAATTAGCCTAGGCCCAAATATACACATTTATGGGAATTAAATATTTACACTTCTAAGAATCTGTTTTTAACCTGTTGATTATAAATATACACTGATTTAAATATATATATACTTATATATGAACATATATATGTTAATATACATATACATATGTATGTGTATATATATGTGTGTGTGTGTGTGTGTATATATATATATATATGTATATATATGAACATATTGTAAGGGGAGAAACACTTCAGGAATGGCAGAGTAAAGACCTTTGAAAATTTATTCTCCCATAAAAGCAAGGAGAACGTTCATTGGCAAAAATTGTCAAACTTTTTCAGAACTCTGGAAATTAATTAAAGTCTTACAATAATTTGAGGAGTGTTTAATGAAGAAAAATAGGTGAATCTTGGTAAGAAGAGAGTATATATTTTATATCTATGGCCTATGTATTTTTTTTAACCTGTTGACATTGAGATGTCATCATCTCAGCTAAATTCCCAAGGTAAGTTTGGGAAGAATAAAATACTTCTGACTAGTAAAATATCACAGGTTTGAAGAATTTTTGAAATGTTAGAAACTTGAATCTACCTCTTCATTTTCCTGGAACCATCCCGCGTGTGTAAAAATGCTCTTTTCTAAATGCCAAAATACATCGGTTAAGGTTTGCAGTATCTTCTAATCATATTCACCCATAGACAAGATGGGTTTAAAAAGATAGATTGCTTGACCTTACTTTATGTCTTACTGCTTTAAGGCAAAGAAGAACTTTTCTGAAGTGATTGGTGTCTAATGTATCCTGATTTCTCTGCTACACTTTTACTAATATTAGGTGGCTATACTTGTGCTCTTTTATATTTTAGCACAGCAAAGGCTCAGCTCAGGAAGAAAGGGATAGAAAATGAAGATTTCAGAAAAACTATGTGAGAAATATGTGTTAAACTATAAATAGCTGCTAAAATGTAGGAAGAAAGGACTGATTTTTCTTCTCACATGGAAATCAATTAGCTGTTTAGTATTATCCATCTGCACATGTCAAAACCAAAGGGTGGGTCCCAACAGAAAAGTATTCTATTGGAGAAGTTGTCTGTGATAGTGTAAAATGTGCAATGTATTAAAAGGAGTGTGAGTTCGGCAGATCACTTGAGGTCGGGAGTTTGAGACCAGCCTTGCCAACATGGTGAAACCCTATCTCTACTAAAAATATAAGAATTAGCTGGGTGTGGTGGCTCACACCTGTAGTCCCAGCTACTTGGGAGGCTGAGGCCCAAGAATTTGTTGAAGACTAGCCTGGCCAACATAATGAAAACCCGCCTCTACTAAAAATACAGAAAATTAGCCGGGTGTGGTAGCGGGCGCCTGTAATCCCAGCTACTTGGGAGGCTGAGGCAGGAGAATCGCTTGAACTTGGGAGGTGGAGGTTTCAGCGAGCCGAAATCACGCCACTGCACTCCAGCCCGGGTGACATTGCAAGACTCCATCTCGGAAAAAAAAAAAAAAAAAAAAAGGATTTCTTGAGCCCAGAAGGTAGAGGTTGCAGTGAGCCAAGACTGTGCCACTGCACTCCAGCCTGGGTGACCGAGTGAGACTCTGTCTCAATAATAATAATAATAATCAAAGGAGTGGACAATAGTTTCAAAACATGATCTGTCTTTGTCAAGAAGAATCAAAGAGTCTAAATTGGCCAGTTTAAAAACATACTGTAAGGGGAGAAGCACTTCAGGAATGGCAGAATAAGGACTTTTGAAAATCTGTTCTTCCATAAAAGCAAGAAGAACATTGGCAAAAATTGTCAAAATAAACTTCTTCAGAACTCTGGAAATTAATCAAAGGCTTACCACAATTTGAGGAGTGTTTATTGAATAAAAACAGTGGCCAGGCACAGTGGCTCACACCTGTAATCCTAGCACTTTTGGAGGCCAAGGCGGGTGGATTGGTTGAGCCCAGGAGTTTGAGACTAGTCTGGGAAACATGGCAAAAACCCATCTCCATAAAAAATACAAAAATTAGCTGAATGTGGTGATGCATGCCTATAGTCCCAGCTACTCAAGAGGCTGAGGTGAGAGAATCGCTTGAGCCCAGGAGGTCAAGGCTGCAGTGAGCCATGATTGCGCCACTGCACTCCAGCCTAGGTGACAGAGCGAGACCCTGTCTCAAAAATAAGTAAATAAATAAAAATATAAACAAAAAAGTTAAAAAAGAAAAATAAGTGAATCTTGATAACAAGAGTATGCTTTGTGATATTTTATCGTACCCTATTTTCATCTTCTACCCAGCTCCATAGAAGCCTTGAAAACAAATAGTCTTGCAGCCATGGTAGGCGTGAAAAAAGCAGCCCGGCAGTCACTGGAGGGGGCGAAATGGTGTTGGAGCATCCCAAGAAAGCATGATTTGCAGAGATTTTTTTATTATTTATCTCTCTGGCAGCTCCCTGAAAACCTCCATTTACAGAACTTGTCTTTATTTGACCTCATGCAGAACTTTGTGCAAACAGCCTTTTTCCTAGGGCACTTGTCAAAAACTTTCAGTGGTAATTGTTTAACGCTGTAGCTGCCTGAGGTGGTGTCTTAGTCTGTTCATGTTGCTATAACAAAAATAACCATAGACTAGTGGCTTATAAATAACCGAAATTTATTTCTCACAGTTCTGGAGGCTGGGAAATCCAGGCTCAAGACAGCAGCAGATTCAGCGTCTGGTGAAGGCCTGCTTACCAGTTCACAAATGGCTGTGTTTTTGCTGTGTCTTCATGTGGTGAAATGGGCAAAGCAATAGATGTTAAGCACAGATGTTAAGATCACAGACGGTGCTGCCACAGTGCATGGTTCAGATCCTAGCTCTGCCTCTTACTGGCTGGGATGAAAACATTTGTTAGTATTTCTTAAAAGGAAAATGCAAAATAGAAGTGCCAAAAATGTTTTGAGCATTGGTATCACCTTTGGAATAAGTGAACAGCTTATTATGGTAACTACTCTGATAATATTTATTATCATATATAACTCCTAGTAGGTTTGTAAAAATAGACTCTTCACTTTCTGATCATACTTTTGTACAGAAGCAGATTTTTAGGGATGGAATGGATGTTACAAATTTTAATACAAAAGTGAGTTATCTGACTTTTTACATAAAAAGATAACTCATTTATTATAAAATTGAGTTATTTGACTTTGACTCTCCCAAGAGCACATAAGTAGTGAGTGGCAACAGTTAATTGGAAAGGACAACTAGAAGTTGGATATGGAGGTAATCTGGGTCTTGTTCTCATTATCCATGTGTTCTTCAATAATATGCTAGATTATACTTCAACTCAATCTCTAGCTTTCCACTGCAATAAGATTTCTCCAACATATTTTTCTACTTTTGGTTTTGGAACATTCCATTTTCGTTTTGCCCAATATCATAAGGCATAATGCTTAATATTGGTTAATATATATTTGTGCTATTGCATTGTAGATGGTGTACTTAGCTTTTTTCATTTGATTTTTTTTGTTTTTGGCCATGAACTTTTCCTAAAGTTATTTACTACAATGATATAAAACTTTTCTTGTGACAGTCCAGGGTATCTTCAGTTAGCTCAAAATACCATTAAAATTTCAAAAGCAAATTAATTTTACTTTTTTTTTATTAGTTTAAATTTATGGGGTACAAGTGTAATTCTGTTACATGGATAGATTGCATAGTTGTGAAGTCAGCGCTTTTAGAGTATCCATCACCCAAATAACGTACACTCTTCCCATTAAATAATTTCTCATCATCCTCCTCCCCCGGCTTCCAATTCTTTGCTATCATTCTATACTCTATGTCCATGTGTGCGCATTATTTAGTTCCCACTTATAAATGAGACCATGTGGTATTTGTCTTTCTGTGTCTGAGTTGTTTCACTTAAGATAATGGTCTCCATTTCAATCCATGTTGCTGCAGAAGACATGCTTCATTCTTTTTTAATGGCTGAACAGTATTCCATTGTATATATAGACTATGTCCATTCGTTGGACTATTATTTGTTAGGCTGATTCCATATCCTTGCCATTGTGAATAGTGCTGTGATAAACATACAAGTGCAGGTATCTTTTTCATATAATGATTTCTTTTCTTTTGGATAGATACCCAGTAGTAGGATTACTGGTTTGAATGGTAGTTCTATTTTTAGTTCTTTGAGAAATCTCCATGCTGTTTTCCGTAGAGGCTGTATTATTTTACATTCTCACTCACAGTATATAAGCTTTCCCTTTTCTCTGCATCCTTGCCAACATCTGTTATTTTTTTTCTCTTTTTAATAATAGCCATTCTGACTGGGTAAGATGCTATCTCATTGAGGTTTTGATTTGCATTTATCTGATGATTAGTGATTTTTTTTTTTTGAGACAGAGTATCACTCTGTTGCCCACAGTGGAGTGCAGTGGTGTAATGATGGCTCACTGCAGCCTTGAACCCCTGGGCTCAAGCAATCCTCCCATCTCAGCCTCTCAAGGAGCCGGGACTACAGGTGTGTGCCACCACACCTGGCTAATTTTTATTTTTATTTTTTGTAGATATGGGTTCTTGCTATGTTATGCAGGCTGGTCTTGAACTCTTGGCCTCAAGTATCCTCCTGCCTTGGTCTCCCAAAATGCTAGGATTACAGGCATGAGCCAATGCACCTTACCAATTAGTGATGCTGACCATTGACCATTTGTTTCTCTTCTTTTGAGAAATGTTTATTTGTGTCCATTGCCCACTTTTTAATGAGATTATTTGTGGGTTTTTTTGTTGTTGAGTTGTTTGAATTCTTTGCAAATGCTGGCTGTTAGTCCCTTGTCAGATGCATAGTTTGCAAATATTTTCTCTCATTCAGGTTATCTGTTCACGCAATTAATTATTTATTTTGCTGTGCAGAAGTTTTTTAGTTTAATTAAGTCCTATTTGTCCAATTTTTGTTTTTGTGGCTTGTACTCTTCAGGTTTGAGTCATGCATTATTTGCCTAGACCAATGTCCAGAAGAGTTTTTCCTAAATCTTCTTCTAGTATTTTTATAGTTTCAGGTCTTACATTTAAGTATTTAATCTATCTCGAGTTTATTTTTATATGTGGTGAGAGATGGGGTCCAGTGTCATTCCTCTGCGTGTGACAAATTCAATTTTCCTGGGACCATTTATTGAATAGGGTGTCCTTTCCCCAGTGTATGTTCTTGTTGACTTTGTCAAAGATCAGTTGGCTGTAAATATGTGGCTTTATTTCTGGGTTCTCTATTCTGTTCCGTCGATCTATGTGTCTATTTTTATATCAGTATCAGGCTGTTTTGGTTACTGTAGCCTTGTAGTATAATTTGAACTCAGGTAATGTGATACCTTCAGCTTTGTTCTTTTTGCTTAGGCTTGCTTTAACTATTTTGACTCTTTTTTGGTTCTATATGAATTTTAGGATTTTCCCCCTAATTATGTGAAAAACAATGTGAAATTTTGATAGGAATTACATTGAATCTGTAAATTGCTTTGAACAGTATGGTCATTTTAATGATATTATTTCTTCTGATCCACGAGCATAGGATGTTTTTCCATTTGTTTGTGTCATCTACAATTTCTTTCATCAGTGTTTTGTGGTTTTCCTTGTAGAGATCTTTCACCTCATTGGTTAAATATATTCCTAGAGTTTTTTTTTAAACAAAACCAATTTATTTTAATTTAAAAAGTAGACCACATATAATATTTCTTGTGATGATGATCCCAGGCATTATTCTAGATTAGAGTTGCCAGATTTAGCAAAAAAAAAAAAAAAAAATAGTATTCCCAGGTAAATTTGAATTTCAGATAACAATAAATAAACCAATGATGGTATAGGCCATACTTATTCTAAAATGAAGTATTCATTGTTTATCTGAAATTCAGATTTTGCTGGGTGCACTTCATTTTATCTGTCAACCCTAACCTAGGTACTTAGGGTACTTCAGTGAACAGAAGTTTCATGCTCTTACAGAGCTTATATTTTACAGGAGAGAGTTGGACAAGACAATAAACATAGTTAATAAGTAAACTATATAGTATGTTAGAAGATAAATGTTTTAGAGTGAAAGAAAAAAGTAGGATCCCTTAACCTGGATGTGTGCATTTGTGGAGGACAGGTTCTCATTTTAAATAGGTAAGTGGAGACATAAGCCTCATTAGAAGGTGAGATTGGAAAAAACACACACACACATACACACACACACATGACACATCCCTCCAGAATTCAGTGGAAGAATATTCCAGGCTGAGGGACAGTGTCTAGAATATTTGAAGAACAGCAAGGGGATCAGTTGACTTGAGAAAAGTGAGGGAGAGTAAGAGAGGGAGAGTGGGAGGAGAGAACATGGGAAGCCAGATCCAAGGGCCTGGAGAGCCATTTTAAGGACTTTGGAGCCATTGCAGGATTTTGAGCAGAGGTGTGACCTCACCTGAGCTGTCTTTTTTAAAAGAATCTCTCTACCTGCTGTGTGGAATACATAAAAGTATAGAAGCAGAGAGACCATTAGAAAGTTTTCACAGCTCTCAAAGGGAGAGGTGATGGGGCTCAGGCTATGGTAGTGGCAGTAGAAGTCATGTGGAGTGGTGAGATTTGGGAGTATATTGAAGCTTGAACCAATAGGATTTCCTAAAGGTTAAAAATGGAGTGTGAGAGAAAGAAAGGATTTAAGGGTGATGTCAAGGATTCTATCCAAGCAAGTGCTTTATGCATGGCACCGTTGCAATGGCTTCTTTCTAAGAAGCTGTGGCAAATTTGTGGATTACAAATAAGTTAAAGGTTCATTTGGTGTGATTTATTGAGTTGAACCATTTGTTTTCTGACAGAATGTTTGCTGTTATATAAACACAGCCTACATGTAGAAAAGAAGCAGACAGAAAGCCTGTCCTGTCTACCTTTCCCACTGGAGTTTCCTTGTCAATGTGTCTCTCACCTTCTGCCACAGGTTGAAGAACACAAAGCTGTGCCTATTATTAACATTTTTGTAGAGTACACAAAACCAAAAACAATGTACTAGTTTTGTCAGACACCATGTAATTATTAGTCTTATGAAACATGTCAACCTTCTGTCTGGAGATATTTTAAAGAAGCTGTGTATTGCAATAGCAAAGACATGGAATCAACCTAGGTGCCCATCAACAGTGGACTGGATAAAGGAAATGTGGTACATATACACCATGGAATACTATGCAGCCATAAAAACGAATGAAATTACATCCTTTGCAGCAACATGGATGCAGCTGGAGGACATTATCTTAAGCGAATGAATGCAGGAACAGAAAACCAAATACTGCATGTTCTCACTTCTAAGTGGGAGCTAAACATTAAGTATACGTGCACATAAAGATGGGAACGATGGACACTGGCGACTGCTGGAGGCGGGTGGGAAAGAGTGGGGTGAGGGTTGAGGGATTGCCTTTTGGGTACTGTGCTCACTGCCTGGGTGACGGGATCATCAGTACCCCAAACCTCAGTGTTATATCGTGTTCCCATGTGACGCACCTGCACACGTATCCCCTGAATCTAAAATAAGAGTTGAAATTTTAAAAAAGAATCTGTGCATTGAAAGTTCTAAGGGCTGTTTGTGATTACATTGAAGTGTCATTTAGATAATACACTAACATACATCCATGGATGCAAATTAGAGCATGACCTACTCCTTCTTTGGGGAAACTAAAGACAACCAAAGACTATCATGTACTATAAATAGATTTTTATGGAGACGTTTTATTTTATTCCACCTGTTAGGATAAAGAGTGGGGCAGACAGCTTGCCAGCTTACCAAATGTTACCAATCCCTGAATGCTTCAGCCTCAGCGTAATTATATCCTTTTTATTTATTGATAAACACCATATGCCTGTCATGTCAGAGATCAGAGAATGTCAAGGAGTTATTCATTAGACTCTACTACAAAGCCTCCCTCATTATGCTCCACTTCGTTCATTCTTGCTAAGGCCTCACTTCTGAGGACCTCTTTCTCCAGGGGATTCACAAACAGAGTATTCAACTCAAATAGCCTGTCTTTGATAGTCGAGCCATTGGTGCTATCACTAATATGCAACTGCCTTCTCTCAGTCATTTGCCCTGATGTAGGGACACTATGATTCAAATAATTAAAAAAAAGAGAGAAGGCAATACAAATTATTTATAATTAGTTCAGAAATATATAAACTCACCTTGAAACATTTCACTCTTCCTAATTATAGTTTACACAGACTAAATATAAAGTTGATTTTTATCTTGTAAGTTTATATGAGCTGGTGGGGAGGGAGGCTTGTTTAGTGTCACAGATGGCAGTAATAGTGTTTTGGGATTAAAAAGAAAATATATTGCAGCACTTCTGGTTAAAAAAAAAAGTTGAGAGCTGTTTTTTGTTTGTTTGTTTGTTTTTGACAGAGTCTCGCTCTGTCGCCCAGGCTGGAGTGCAGTGGCACGATCTCAGCTCACTGCACTCTAGCCAGGGTGACAGAGCAAGACTCTGTCTCAAAAAAAAAAAAAAAGAGACTTTCTATTTTTTTCTATTTTATTAATTAAAAATAACCAGACAGCTTTTCAAACATCATACTGAAGCCCTAGCTATAAAACAAGAAAAGAAAATAAAAGGTATACAGATTGGGAAGGAAGAATTAAACTTTCTCCACAGATGACATGACTGTCTATTTAGAAAATATGAAAGAATTGACAAAAAACCCTCTAGGAACTAAAAATAGATTGTAGCAAGATTGCATGATACAAGGTTAATACACAAAAGTCAATCACTTTTCTATATGCAAGTAATGAACAAGTGGAACTTGAAATTAAAAACACAATACCATTTACATTAGTTCCTCCCCAAATGAAATACTTAGGTATAAATCTAACAAAACATATGAGGAATATGAGGAAAACTACAAGATTCTGATTAAAGATATCAAAGAAGAATTAAATAAATGGAGAGATATTCCATGTTCATGTATAGGAAGACTCAATATTGTCAAGATGTCTATTCTTTCCAACTTGATCTATAGACTCAAAGCAATTGCAATCTTAGCAAAAAATCCAGCAAACTATTTAGTGTATATCAGTCCACAAACTGACTCTAAAATTACAATGGACAGGCCAGAGACCCAGAATAAACAACACAATATTGAAGAAGAACAAAATTGGAAGGCTGACATTACCTGACTTTGACTTACTATGAAACTACAGTAATCGTGACAATATGGTATTTGTGAAAGTATAGATAAATAGATTGATGGGACAGAGTAGTGATCTTAGAAATAGAACCACATAGGCTGGGCATGGTGGCTCACACCTGTAATCCCAGCACTTTGGGAGGCCAATGCAGGTGGATCACGAGGTCAGGAGTTTGAGACCAGCCTGGGCAACATAGTGAAACTCTGTCTCTACTAAAAATACAAAAAATTGACTGGGCGTGGTGGTGGGTGCCTGTAATCCCAGCTACTTGGGAGGCTAATACAGGAGAATTGCTTGAACCAGGGAGGCAGAGGTTGCAGTGAGCCAAGATCATGCCACTGCACTCCAGCCCGGGCAACCATGCGAGACTCCATCTCAAACAAACAAACAAAAGGAAATAGAACCACATAAATATAGTCAACTGATCTTTGATGAAGCAAAGACAATAAAATGGAGCAAAGATAGTCTTTTCAACAAATGGTGCTGGAACTACTAGATATCCATACATTAAAAAAAAAAAAAAGAATCTAAGCCAAGTGCAGTGGCTCATGCCTATAATCCCAGGACTTTGGGAGGCTGAGGCAGGAGGATTGCTTGAGCTTAGGAGTTCAAGAACCAACCTGGGCAAAATGGTAAGCCCCAATCTCTACAAAAAATATATAAATTAGCCAGGCTTGGTGGTGTGCGCTTGTAGACCCAATTATTTGGGGGACTGAGGTGGAAGGATCACTTGAGCCTGGGAGGTCAAGGCTGCAATGAGTCATGATTGCACCACTGCACTCCAGCCTGGGTGACAAAGTGAGACCCTGTATTAAAAAAAAAAAAGAATGTAGACACAGACCTTACACTCTTTGTAAAAACTAAAATAGATCATGGACCTAAATGTAGAAATGTAAAACTATAAAACTCTTAGAAGATAATACAGGAGAAAAACCTAGGTGGTTTTGGGAATGGTGATGACTTTTTAGATATAACACCAAAGGTATGATCCATGAAAGAAATAATTGATAAGCTGGACTTTATTAAAATTTAAAACTTCTATGTGAAAGACGGTGTCAAGAGAATAAGAACAAGCCATAGACCAAGAGAAAATACTTGTAAAAGACACATCTCATAAAAGACTGTTAGATAAAATATAAAAAGAACTGTTAAAACTCAGAAAGCAAACAACCCAATTAGAAAACAGGCCAGCTGGGCGTGGTGGCTCACACCTGTAATCGGAGCACTTTGGGAGGTCAAGGTGGGTGTATTGCTTGAGCGCAGGAGTTCGAGACCAGTCTGGGCAACATGGTGAAACCTCATCTCTACGTAAAATACAAAAATTAGCTGGGCATGATGGCATGCGCCAGTACTCCCAGCTACTCAGGAGGCTGAGAATTGCCTGAGACCGGGAAGTTCAGGCTGCATTGAGCCATGATCACACCACTGCACTCCATCCTGGGTGACAGAGTGAGAGCCTGTCTCAAAAAAAAAAAAAAAAAAGGGCGGGGGGGCAAAAGACCTAAAGACCTTAACAGATATCTTACCAAAGAAGAGATAGTGATGGCAGATAAGAATATGAAGCATATGAAAAGATGTTTCACATCATATCAGGAAAATGCAATTTAAAGCAATAATGAGATGCCACTAACCACTTATTAAAATAGCCCACGTCCTGAACTCTGACACCACCGAATTTTTTCAGAGGTCTTCTTTCTGCATCTATCAACATAACTGTACAATTTTTCTCTTTTATTTCTATTAATGTGGTAAATTATATTGGTGCATTTTCCAATTTTAAACCAACCTTGTATTCTTTTTTTTTAAATTTAACTTTTGTTTTAAGTTATGGGGTACATGTGCATGTTCGTTATATAGGTAAACTTGGGGGTTTGCTGTACAGATTATTTTCTCACCCAGGTGTTAAGCTAGCACCCATTAGTTATTTTTCCTGATCCTCTGCTTCCTCTCACCCTTCACCCTCAAGTAGGCCCCAGTGTGTGTTTTTTCCCTCTATGTGTCCATGTGTTCTCATCGTTTAGCTCCCACTTATAAGTGAGAACAAGCAGTGTTGGTTTTGTTCCTGCGTTAGTTTGCTAAGGATAATGACCTCCAGCTCTATCCATGTTCCTGCAAAGGACATGATCTTGTTCTTTCTTATGACTGCATAGTATTCCATCATGTATATGTACCACACTTTCTTTATCCAGTCTCCCATCAATGGGCATTTAGATTGATTCCATGTATTTGCTATTATGAATAGTGCTGCAATGAACATACACATGCATGTTTCTTTATGGTAGAATGATTTATATTCCTTTGGGTACATACTCATTAATAGGCTTGCTGGGTTGAATGGTCTTTAGGTCTTTGAGGAATTGCCACACTGTCTTCCACAATGGTTGAACTAATTTACACTCCCACCAACAATGTATATGCATTTCTTTTTCTCTGCAACCTTGCCAGCATCTGCTATTTTTTAACTTTTTAATAATGGTCATTCTGACTGGTATAAGATAGTATCTCATTGTGATTTTGGATTGCATTTTTCTAATGATAGGTGATATAGAGCATTTTTTCATGATTCTTTGGCCACATGTATGTCTTCTTTTGAAAAGTGTTTGTTCATGTGCTTTGCCCACTTTTTTTTCTTGAGGTGGAGTTTCACTCTGTTGCCCAGGCTGGAGTGCAGTGGCACAATCTTGGTCACTGCAGTCTCCACCTCCCAGGTCCAAGCGATTCTCCTGCCTCAGCCTCTCAAGTAGCTGGGATTACAGGTGCATGCCACCATGCCTGGATAAGTTTTGTATTTTTAGTAGAGACTAAGTTTTACCATGTTGGCCAGGCTGGTTTCAACCTCCTGACCTCAGATGATCCACTCACTTTGGCCTCTCAAAGTGCTGGGATTAAGGTGTGAGCCACCATGCCTGGCCATTTGCCCACTTTTTAATGGGGTTGTTTGTTTTGTGTGTGTGTAAATTTGTTTAAGTTCCTTAAAGATGCTGGATATTAGACTTTCTTCAGATGCACAGTTTGCAAAAATTTTCTCCCATTCTGTAGTTTGTCTGTTCATTCTGTTAACAGGTTTTTTTTTCTTCTGTGCAGAAGCTCTTTAGTTTAATTAGATCCCATTTGTCAATTTTTGCTTTTGTTGCAATTGCTGTTTGTGTCTTCATCATGAAATCTTTGCCCATTCCTGTGTCCAAAATGGTATTGCCTTCCATTCCAAAATGGTTGTCTTCCAGGGTTTTTATAGTTTTGGGTTTTACATTTAAGGCTTTAATCCATCTTGAGTTAATTTTTATATATGTTGTAAGGAAGGGGTCCAGTTTCAATCTTCTGCATATGGCTAGCCAGTTATCCCAGCCTGGGGAATCCTTTTCCTATTGCTTGTTTTTGTCAGCTTTGTAGAAGATCAGATAGTTGAAGGTATGAAGCCTTATTTCTGGGTTCTCTATTCTGTTCCATTGGTCTATGTGTTCTGCTTTTGGACCAGTACCATGCTGTTTTGGTTACTTTAGCCTTGTAGTGTAGTTTGAAGTTGGGTAGCTTGATGCCTCCACCTTTGTTCTCTTTGCTTAGGATTGCCTTGGCTATTCGGGCTCTTTTTTTGGTTCCATATGAATTTTAAAATAGTTTTTTCTAGTTCAGTGAAGAATGTAATTGGTAGTTTATTAGGAGTAGCATTGAATCTATAAATTGCTTTGGGCAGTATGGCCATTTTAACAATATTGATTCTTCCTATCCATGAGCATGGAATGTTTTTTCATTTGTTTGTGTCATCTCTGATTTCTTTGAACAGTTTTTTGTAGTTCTTCTTGTAGAGACTTTTAACCTCTCCGGTTAGCTGTATTCTCAGTGTGTGTGTGTGTGTGTGTGTGTGTGTGTGTGTGTGTGAATTGTGATGAATGGGATTGCATTCCTGATTTGACTCTTGGCTTGATTGTTGTTGGTGTACAGGAATGCTAGTGATTTTTTTACATTGATTTTGTATCCTGAGAATTTGCTGAAGTTGTTTATCAGCTTAAGGAGCTCTTGGGCTGAGACTATGGAGTTTTCTACATATAGGATCATGTTGCCTGCAAACAGGGACAGTTTGACTTCCTGTCTTCCTATTTGGATGCACTTTATTTCTTTCTCTTGCCTAATTGCTCTGGCCAGGATTTCCAATACTATGTTGAATAGGAGTGGTGACATAGGGCATCGTTGTCTTGTGCTAGTTTTCAAGGGGAATGCTTCCAGCTTTTGCCCATTCAGTATGATGTTGGCTGTGGATTTGTCATAGATAGTTCTTATTATTTTGAGGTATGTTCCTTCAATACCTAGTTTATTGAGAATTTTTAACATAAAATGATGCTGAATTTTATCAAAAGCCTTTTCTGCATCTATTGAGATAATCATGTGTTTTTTGTCTTTAGTTCTGTTTATGTGATGAATAACGTTTACTGATTTGCATGTGTTGAATCAACCTTGCATTCCAGGGATAAAGCCTACTTGATCATTGTAGATAAGCTTTTTGATGTGCTGCTGGATTCAGTTTGCCCGTATTTTGTTGAGGATTTTTGCATTGATGTTCATCAAGGATATTGGTCTGAAGTTTTCTTTTCTTGTTGTGTCTCTGTCTGGTTTTGACATCAGGGTGATACTAGCCTCATGGAATGAGTTAGGGAGGAGTCCCTTCTCCATTTTTTGGAATAGTTTCAGCAGTAATGGTATCAGCTCTTCTTTGTACATCTAGTAGAATTCAGCTTTGACTCCATGTGGTCCTGGGCTTTTTTTGAAAGCTTGTATTCCTGAAATAGAAATTTATTGTGTAAGTTCCAAATATTTGGGTTTTAAAGTTATATTTGTATTATTAATTTCTAGTTTCATTCCACTGTGGTCAGAAAACATATCCTGAATAACTAAAATCTCTGAATTTTGATGAGACCTGCTTTATGGACCACTACATGGTCAATTTTGATAGATGTTTTCTATACATTTAAATATATACTCTGCTGTTGTAGGTAAGTGTTCTATGTATCCCAAATGATCCAAGTTTGTCAATCATGTTGTTCAGATCTTCTATATCCTTACTGATATTTTTCCTGCTTGATCTTTCAGTTACTGAGACAGACAGTTAAGTTCTCCCACTATGATTGTAGATTTGCTTATTTTTCCTTTATATCTGTCAAAATTATCTTTATGTATTCTCAATTCATGTTAAGTGTATTAAAATCTACAATTATTATGTATCATTTTGTTCCTTTTTATCTCTACTAATGTTTCTTACCTTAAAGTCTACTTTGCAAGATATTGGTATGCTAGAATACTAGCTTTCTTTTGCTTAGTGTTTTTATGGTATTTCTTTTTCCATCTTTTCTATTCAACTTTTCTTTGTTCTTATATTTAAAGTGTGTTTCTTAAAAGTAGCATATAGTTGGATTGCATTTATTTTAATTCAATTTGACAATATTGTAAGTTGAGTATTTAGCCTGTTTACATTTAATGTGATTCTAGATATGGATACATTTGGGTTATATTTACCATTTTATTAATGATTTCTATTTCTCCTCTATCTGTTCTATGTTCCTCACTCTCCTTTCTTTCATTCATTTGTACTCATCAAATATTACTTTTTTCTTTGTACTCTTTGCCACCACCACCACCACCTCCACCACCCATAGGTATGTTAGTTCTATATTCTTTTACTAGGGGTTATCCTTGAGATTATAGAATGTACCCTTGATTCATTTAAGTCTAATATAGAATCATATTTTTACCTCTTCATAGAAAATGATAAAACTTCAGGGCCAGGCATGGTGGCTCACGGGAGGCCGAGGCAGGTGGATCACCTGAGGTCAGGAGTTCGAGACCAGCCTGACCAACATGGTGAAACCCCGTCTCTACCAAAAATACAAAAATTAGCCGGGTTTGGTGGCACGCACCTGTAATCCTAGCTACTCAGGAGGCTGAGGCAGGAGAATTGCTTGAACCCAGGAGGCAGAGGTTGCAGTGAGCCGACACCATGTCACTGCACTCCAGCCTAGGCAACAAGAGCAAAATTCCATCTCAGGAAAAAAAACAAAGCAAAACAAAACAAAAACAAAAAAACAACACTTCAGAACAGTTTAACTCTACCAGTCCCCGCATCCCTTTTGTGTTATTACTATCATGCATTTTAATTCTCTCTCTATAAATTAGCCTTATAAAATGTTATTCGTTTTATACAGTCAATTTTTATATAGCTTTACCCACATTTTCCCATTCCTGTTGCTTTTCATTTCTTCTTTCATTTATGTAGATCACATATATGTGATCATTTTCCTTCCACTTGAAGAAATTCCTTTCGTTTTTCGTATGTCTTTTATTATGGGTTTACTTATGACAAATTATCTCCATTTGTGTTTATCTAGAAGTATGTTAATTTTACCTTTTCTTTTGAAATTTTTTGGTGCCAGATGTAAAACTAGGTTAGCAGTCATTTTCTTTTATTACTTGAAAAATGTCATTCCACTGTCTTTTGCTTTCCAACATTTCTGATGCATTTAATTCTTTCTCAGATAACTTTTCTTTCTCTTTCCCACAGAGAACAAACAGAGAACATGGGGGGAAAATCCTGTTTGATGACATAAGATAGCTACCGAGGCAATAAATGATTATAGGGCTAAAATACAAAAGAAAGAGGGAACTTGGAGAGCTGGGCTTGGTATTTGTGCCTGCTTTCTTTTGCAAATAGCTGTTGGTTTCAGAAGAGGCAGCTAAGCATCTGAGAAAAGCTCTCCACTAACTCATAAACCTTGGAGGACAAAATATAGAGATTATGGGCTGCCAAGGGTGGAGAATACCCTGGAAACTCTTCCCTAAGCCTTGGTTTGGGACCCTAAAGAATAAAGAACTATATCTTAGAAGAAAGAGTAAACCAAATATACATCAGTTTTGAATAGTCTCAATCTTTGATTGGATTAAGGTGATTTGGGATTGCTAATGCCTTAGCCTAGCCTGTTACAAGCAAATATAAAACCCTCTGGAGGAAGGTAACATCATTCAGAACCTAAAATAATCTTTACCATTTTTCACATCTAATGTGCCATGTATGACAAAAATTAACCAATCACTGGAGGAAACAACATAACATGGTCAAAAAAACACAAAAACCCAAGAGAAATAATCAAAAAAAAATAAACCTACAGATAATGGAATGTTAAATAAGATTTAAAAGTTCAGTAAATTTTTAAAAAGCAGATGAGAATTTTGACAGATGAATGGAAAACATGAAAATAACCAAATTGTATTTTAGAAGTAAAAAAATACAAGAGCTGAAATTAAGAACTCAGTGGATGAGTTTATTAGCAGATTTGACTCAGAAGAAAAGAGAATTTATAAGTGGAAGATAATATCTATTCTGAATCTTAGAGGAACAGCAATAAACAAAAAGTAGAAAACACTAAAAAGTGTGTAAGAGACATAGAGCATACAGTGAGAAGGTCAACATATGTGTTATTGAAGTCTTTGAAGAGGAGAAGAGAGAGATGATGGGGCAGAAGCAATATATGAAGAGATAATGGCTGAGAATTTTTTTTTATAAATTTTAAAAATCCCAAAAAGATATCAAGCCATAGATGTAAGAAACATTCAGAACCTAAAACCATAGCTAAACATATCACAGTGAAACTGCTGAAAAAAAGGAGAAAGAAAACAATATTTCAAGCAGCCAGAGAGAACACAATAAGAGTAACAGTTGATTTTTTTAATAGAACAGTGGAAGCCAGTAGCAGTAGAATGAAACATTCAAAGTTCTTACATAAAATAACCAACTTCTGCTTTTGGCAGTACACACCCACTTATCTTGGGCTGACTGGGGGTAGCTCTGCTCCATCTGTCTTTCATCCTGCTCCTAGGTCCAGCAGGCTAGCTTGAGCATATTCTTCTTATGGTAATGGCAGAGACACAGGAGAGCAAGCAGATAGATGCAAGCACCTTTTAAGCCTCTGCTCATCTGTTAAGATCTCATTCGCCAAAGCAAGTCACATGACTAAATTCCTAATCAACGATAAGGAAGTATGTTCTGCCATTTGACAAGAAGGGCTGTGAGGTCGTGTAGATAAATGCATGGTAAGAAGAAAGGTGAAGAATTGGAGCCACCAGTATAGTGCATCACAAATTAACTAGTGAAAAGGAACTTTACAGATCAATTTTTGTAGCCTGTTTCTCTGGACAGAAATGCAATCAGAATTATCTAAATAATTCTAGCTGTTCTGACAAAATCTAAAGAGATTTGGCAAAGGGCATAAAAAGTGTTTAAACACTCGGTTTATACTTTCAGAAGCACATGCCTCATACCACGGGTGCTTTTACTAAACTCTAAGAGCATCTCCTTTTGCAGGACAGGGGGTAAATTAAGGGTTGTAGGGGCCTGTATTTCCTCTTTAAAATATGGGAGTGATAGTAAATTGAGACTGTAAATATGAAATTTGGTAACATCTTTGTTATGCAAACTAAGAAAAAGCACTATGTAGCCAGGTGTGGTGCACACCTGTAGGTCCAACTACTCGGGAGGCTGAGGCAGGAGGAGTGTTTGAGGCTGCAGTGAGCTATGATTGCAACACTGCACTCCAGACTGGGTGACCCGAGGTGGGTGGATCACCTGAGGTCGGGAGTTTGAGACCAGTCTGGCCAACATGGGGAAACACTGTCTCCAGTAAAAATACGAAAATTAGCCAGGCATGGTGGCACATGCCTGTAGTCCCAGCTACTCAAGAGGCTAAATCAGGAGATTGGCTTGATGCTGAGAGGCGGAGGTTGCAGTGAGCCAAGATTGTGCCACTGTACTCCAGCCTGGCCAACGGGGCAAGACTCCATCTCAAAAAGAAAAAGGAAAGTTTTAAAAAAAAAATTAAAGCACTGTAGGCCAGGCACAGTGGCTCATGCCTATAATCCCAGCACTTTGAGAGGCCGATCACTTGAAGTCAGGAGTTCGAGACCAGCCTGGTCAACACAGTGAAACCCTGTCTCTACTAAAAATACAAAAATTTAGCCAGGCGTGGTGGCGTGCACCTATAGTTCCAGCTACTCGGGAGGCTGAGGCAGGAGAATCGCTTGAACCTGGGAGGCAGAGGTTGCAGTGAGCTGAGATTGCACGACTGCACACCAGCCTGGGCAACAAGAACAAAACTCCGTCTCAAAAGAAAAAGAAAAGCACTGTAGAATTAAGTGAAAAGAGTTTTCTTAAAAAATACCTACATTATTCCTTTTCAGGTTTAGTATTATTAAACTGAAAAAGTTAGTATTGCTATAATGAGCCTATTGTCCAAAAAGAATAGGGCAGAGAAGGCATAAATATGATTCAAATTTCACGTGTTAAGACATTGAGACCATTTCTCCCCTCTGTGCAAGAAGGAGGAAACAAAGTACATTCCAGTACATATGAGTTTGAATCACTTGTACTTACTTATGTAGGGATAGGCAAGAGAAAAGGGTCAGGTCAAAAAGAAATTAGCCGAAGTGATCCTCGAAGGGATTTCTTGGGCATTGGAGGCAGCATGGGGTAAAGCTGTGCTTGTCAAACTGGTCTATGATGTGCCCTTGGCAGTGAAGTGAACACACAGCAGCACATACCGTACCTGGAGCATCGAAGCTGGCTACCCCAAGCATAAACTTCCAGTGAGATTTGTGTTCTCTTTAAAAAGTCATGTGAATTTGGTTTTCTTCTGCAATAATGAATAATAAATGCATTTTTATTTCCTCCTCCTCTTCTTCTTTCTTTCTTTTTTTTTTTTTTTGAAATAGTCTTGCTCTGTCACCCAGACTAGAATGCAGTGGCAAGATTATAGGTCACTGCAGCCTCAAACTCCTAAGCTAAAGCAATCCTTCTACCACAGGCTTCCAAGTAGCTAGAACTAAAGGCCCAGCTGGCTTTATTTGTTATTAGTTTGAAGAGAAAGGGCCTTGCTTTGTTGCCCAGACTGGTCTCAAACTCCTGGCCCCAAGTAATCCTCCCACCTCAGCCTCCCAAAATGCTGGGATTAAAGGCATGAGTCCCTGAGCCTGGTCTAACATGTCTAGTTTTTAATAAAGCATTTGTTTAACGTCCTCACCTTGAGATAATATTCAAGATTTAGGAAAAAGTGGCATATTTCTGCTACGGCTTGGAGTATTTTCTGGCACGTAAATGTATATCCCCTAGGGTTGGGGGCTTCTGTTTAAGAACATCAGGTTGTAAAGTGTTGGCCTTGGGGCCAGGGGGACTGGGTTTTATTCTTGTCTTTGCCACTAGTTTATGCTGGTGCTGGAGCAGTCTGAGTGGCCAAGACCTCAGTTTACTTGCCTTTAGCAGGAGATTGGACTAGACCATCTCTAATATTCCTTCCAGTTTGCGCCTCCACGACTCTCTTCCAGCTAACTAAGTTCAACCTTGGTATTTGCTAACTAAATTCAACCTTGGTATTCACTTTTGAACAGGCATTCTCCTTGAGCCCCTCTATCATCACTCAGGCATATCTGGGGCTCATTTGAATGATCCATCCTTAAGGATGAGAGTCAATTTTCCCTTAGAGTGGATCACGTAGATTGGTAGAGTCTACTTTACATACAACCAGATACGGTTTCCCATAATAAGACAATACAAAGCAGCAACAATAAGATAGGCTAGGAAGGTGTGTATCCTAAATAATCAAATTAGAGAGAATACCAACAGAACCTTTCTCTTTTTCTTTTTCTTTTTTTTTTTTTTTTTTGAGACAGAATCTTGCTCTGTCACCAGGCTGGAATGCAGTGGCGCGATCTTGGCTCACTGCAACCTCCATCTCCCAGGTTCAAGCCATTCTCCTGCCTCAGCCTCCTAAGTAGCTGGGATTACAGGCACCCACCACCACACCCAGCTAATTTTTGTATTTTTACTAGAGACGGGGTTTCACCATGTTGGACAGGATGGTCTTGATCTCCTGACCTTGTGATCCACCTACCTTGGCTTCCCAAAGTGCTGGGATTACAGGCGTGAGCCACTGTGCCTGGCCTGAGAACCTTTTTCTTTAATATTTTGAATTAATAAACTTTTGGGGAGATTGGGGAAATTGATGGATTTTGGCCTATTCACAGATGCAGAGTTTTTTTGTGTTTTGTTTTTTGATTCCATTGGGTTTGAAACTGAGAATAGAAATGAGATACCCGCATTAATAAAACAAGGTGGTATTTGAACACTTAAACTCAACAAAAGAAATTGGACCTGGAGTGAATTACTTATTTATGGCATCTCCTTGTTGAACTACCTACTCTTTTATGAGGCCTGGGATGCTCTCTTTATTGGTCTTTAAGGCAAGTGGGGAGGCCTTCATGATGGCTTGTGGTTTTTAGGTCAATGGTGAGCTGGTTGTTGGGGTCATTTGGTCCAAAACTTCCTTACAAGGAAGTGTGCTCCCTCTTTCTCTTTTCTTGGAGGCATTTTAAATCTAACTAACAGTGAAGAAGTGTCGGCAGCCTGATTTCTTGTGTCAAAACCCACCTGGGGAAGGTGTAAGTGAGCATAGGGCATTGGGCAGAACCTCTCTGCCAAGAAACTTAAGGTGCCGAATGACCTAAATGACCTTGTCCATCTCTGGTTTCTACTGCTGTGTCCAAAAAATCCACAGCAGTTCTCATGTTACCTTGTTTCATATCATTTAAATAAAGATTACTTTGAGTCTGATGCAATCCCATAGAACAGAAGTATTTCACCACCTCAAATGAATTCTTAATAGGGTATTTATGTATATGCCTATATGCAGTATGAAACATATGTCTTGTTATTGTATATCTGTGTCTCTAAGTTTATTTAAACACAAACTCGTTGTTGCATATGGGCACATTCCATATGGAAAGCACTTATTCAACACACACAACTTTTGTGTTGGTATAAAATCAATTCTGCCATCGAGCATTTTTTCCTTGTCCTGCACCTGGGAAGAAAGGTTCTGGTTTTGAGAGGAGATGGAAGAAAATCCTGCAGAGGAAAGGCTAGTCTTCCCAGTGGCACTTTACTAGGAAGCCATGGTTTTCCATCACAATCTACAAAGGTATGATAAGTCATCTTCTCATGGTTCTGACAACGGAGAATATTGGGGTGCAACATGAAGGAGAGATCAAAGGATCACTGAGATCTGAGAGTCAGAGGGTAATAGAGGTGTGACTCTCAGGTACAGGCCTGATGAGCTAGGTGGCTACTGGCTTTTTAGGCACCAAGACCAGGAAGATTTAAAGCCCAAGATGATTGTTTGTTGACAAGGCTGGAGATAAAATTCCTGATGGGCGAGGGGGGTTACCTTCACTTCACTTCAGCAGCACCGCCTGTCTGGCCACCATACCAAAGTGCTGACTTTTTTTTTTTTTGAGATGGAGTTTTGCTCTTGTTGCCCAGGCTGGAGTGCAATGGCACAATGTCGGCTCACTGCAACCTCCACCTCCCGGGTTCAAGTGCTTCTCCTGCCTCAGCCTCCCAAGTAGCTGGGATTACAGGCATGTGCCCCCATGCCTGGCTAAATTTTTATATTTAGTAGAGATGGGGTTTCTCCATGTTGGTCAGGCTGGTCTCAAACTCCTGACCTCAGGTGATCCACCTGCCTCAGCCTCCCAAAGTGCTGGGATTACAGGTGTGAGTCACCGCACCCGGCCCCAACGTGCTGTCTTTTACTTCCACTAAACCTCTCCTTATCCTGGTCCCAGCCAGTTATCCAAGTTGACAAACCCCACTCCTGGCCGGGCTTTCCTTCTTAGCTGTCTTCAGTTATTTTAAGCAAGTGCTCATCACCACCCATAGTTTTCTCTTCCCTGTGATGCTACCACATCAGCCAATCCAGCATCGGCACATGTCTTCCATTCCTGTCCCTGAGGTGAAATATGCCACAGCGGGGAAAAAATCCCAGTCAAAAGCAAAACCTAAGCCAAAAACTGAGTCCGGACTGTCTCCATGACCATCATATAATTTCTAGCCTCTCTGGTTTTCTCATTGTTGTCCAACAAACTTACCCATTTCCCAAGGCAACAACTTCAGAATATCATTCCTTACCTCAAATCCTGAATCTACCCTGAGCCTGTCACTTTTAGCAGAAGACTTAGACCCCTGCTTCCATGAGAATAATAAAGCCCACTACCTGGCCACCCTGAATTCCTTCACCTTTTCTCTCTCCAGAGTCTCTGCAGCCATCTCTCCTCTTTCCTCTCAGAAAGCTCATCTCTACAGGAATTTTCCATTCTAAATTGTCTCTGTTTTTTTGACACTTGTTTTCTCAATTATTTTTTCTCTTCTGTATTTTCAGTACTTTTATTTAACTCTTCCCTCATTCCATTAACATGATCAAATCTCTCCAACATTCAAAAAATAACAATAAAAATTTTCTCTGCTTCTCTTCTTTCTTCTGCAGTCACTGCCAGCTTTTCTCCTTCTCTCCACCCCCTCCCCCATAACTAAGCTTATATTTTCTGCCTTTGCTTCCTCATCTCTCAGTTTCTCAACTCATTGTGGCATGACAGTGACCTCATCAAGGTCATGGAAAGGCATTGTTAATGGTCCCCCCTGAGTGAATTTCTGTATCTTCCCTCTCAGTGAGGTGGGATGAAAACATGAGTGTCCTTGCTTGATGGATTGTAGTGGACACTGTTGTTAGCTCCTAGATTCGCCCTCCAGGACCAAAGCATGTGTTCTCCAGCTGCTGGGAGTGTTGCCTGCTAAGGGATTATACCTGAGTGTTTCCTCCGTTATTGCTCTTGGCAGAAGGGAGCCATCTCACCAAGATTACTCTTCTCTCCAAAGTCAGCCTGTATCTGCTGCCTTGTTGTTTTGGAGTGAGTACAAGACCCCTTGCCTCAGTGAGGGCATCTTAGAAGGACCATCTAAGCTTCAAGCCTTTCCCTGAGATTGACTGAAGGCTTTATTACAACCTCAATACAAGTGCAATTTCTCCGCTGCCCAATCTGGCTTTCTTTCCTTTCCCAAGGGTGCTGTTTCTTTTTTAAAAATTTTTTATTTCAGTAGTTTTGGGGGTTCTGGTGGTTTTTGGTTACATGGATAAGTTCTTTAGTGGTGTTTTCTGAGATTTCAGTTCAAGGGATGTTGTTCCTGAGAGCATGTTTCAATAAACTTCTTGCAAGCACACATCTATCTCTGAGTGTTTTCTGGGGAAACTCGATATGAGACACAGGTGAAACTAAGTATTTCCCTGGAGAAACTGGTAATAGGGCTAGGAATTTCTTACTTTGAATCCCACCTCTATATATTAGTCTCCTTTGCTGGCACATACTGATCCAGGAAGATTTGATCAGGCTGAATCCAGAAATATAATTTTGCCTGGGCTTTCAGAGCAACAAATGAAGTCAAGTGCCAATTTCTAGGTCTTTTGTTCAATTTCTTTATTTTCTTGAATAACTTTTATTTGGGATAATATTGTATCAACACCTCTTCCTTGGAACCATAGCCGAATTTCTATGAATTGAATTTTTAATGGTGCTTCCATCACAATGATGTTCTCTCAATTAGAGAAGCTGTGCCCTCCTCTATAATCCTCCTCTTTTTAGTTCCCACCCTCCCAAGTCCCCAGAGATTTACCCCATTATCAAAGTTTTAGCTTGCTCCAAGTCTTTGCACTACTACAGTTGAGCATCACAGAATTAAATGGAACTCTCGATTTTACTTTGATCTGGATTTCCAGAATGGATGGAAATACTAGTGATTAAAAATGTGCTGTTTGGGTGTGGTGGCTTATGCCTGTAATCTCAGTGCTTTGAGAGGCTGAGGCAGGAGGATTGCTTGAGCCCAGGAGTTTGAGGCCAGCCTGGGAAACAGTGAAACTTGATCACCATAAAAAATAAATTTAAAAAAATAGCTAGGCATAGGGGCACATGCCTGTAGTCCTATTTACTCAGGAAGATCACTTGAGCCCAGGAGGTTGAGGCCGCAGTGAGCTATGATTGCGCCACTGCACTCCAGCCTGGGTAACATAGTGAGAACCTGTCTCAAAAAAAAAAAAAAAAAAAAAAAGGGTTGTTTATCAAGATTACAGAATATATGTTTTTTTGCTAGATTCAAATCATTTTGATATGTTGAATTACATGTGCCAGAGGATGAATAACTATCCTAATTGTCAGCAGTTCCACCTTCTAATTCCAAAATATATTCCAGACCCAAAGTTTTTCTTCATATCTTTTCTATAATTTATATCAGTTGTCTAAAGCTGAGTAACAAGCACTCTACGTTGGTCTTGGCTGGGCTTGCTCATGCATCCACACTCACCTAGAGAGTTGCTTAGAGGCTGGCTGTTCTAGGATGCCTCAGCTGGGATGACTCAGCTCTGCTCCATGTGGTCTCTCCTCCTCCAGCAGGCAGCTAGCCTGGGCCTGTTCTCTTGGCATAGCCGAACTTCAAGAGCAAGCTGGAGTCATTTGCAAGAGATTGATCCCTAATGCACAGGCCCTTTGCACACCCCCACTTGTACCTGTATTACATTGCTCAAAGCCCAGAGTCAGAATGGAAGGGAACTATAAATTATAGACCAAAGGGTTTGGATACCAGAAGGCCATGAATTGGGGCCATTCATGCAACCACCCTACTACACCACCCTAGGCCACAACACTATCATGTCTTGACTGGATGACTTCAGTGGCTTCCACTATATTACTGTTGCCTTGTGTCCACTCTTGACCTCTATAGTCCATTCCCAATAGTCAGAATCACTTTTTGGTTTTTGTTTTATTTTTCCTTTGTGTATTGCCAGCTAGTTGTTGTTGTTGTTGTTCTTCTTCTTCTGTTTTTTTTGTTTTTTTTTTTTTTTTTGTGTGTGTGTGTGTGTGTGTGTGTGTGTGTGTGTGTGTGTGTGTGTGTGTGTTTTGCTACAGGGTCTTGCTGTGTCACCAAGTCTGGAATACAGTGATGCAATCTTGGTTCACTGTAGCCTCAACCTCCCAGGCTCAAGCAATCCTCCCACCTCAGCCTCCCAAGTGGCTGGAACCACAGGCGTGCACCACCATGCCTGGCTAATTTTTTTTTTTTTTTTGTAAAGATGAGGTCTCATGACTGTAATCCCAGCACTTTGGGAGGCCGAGGTGGGCGGATCACGAGGTCAGGAGATCGAGACCATCCTGGCCAACATGGTGAAACCCTGTCTCTACTAAAATACAAAAAATTAGCCGGGTGTGGTGGCGTGCGCTTGTAGTCCCAGCTACTCAAGAGGCCAAGGCAGGGGAATCGCTTGAACCTGGGAGGCAGAGGTTGCAGTGAGGCGAGATCGCACCACTGCACTCCAGCCTTGCAAGAGAGCAAGACTGTGTCAAAAAAAAAAAAAAAAAAGGCCGGGCGCGGTGGCTCACACCTGTAATCCCAGCACTTTGGGAGGCCGAGGCAGGCGGATCACGAGGTCAGAAGATCAAGACCATCCTGGCTAACATGGTGAAACCCTGTCTCTGCTAAAAAATACAAAAAATTAGCCAGGCGTGGTGGTGGGCACCTGTAGTCCCAGCTACTCGGGAGGCTGAGGCAGGAGAATGGCGTGAACCCAGGAGGAGGAGCTTGCAGTGAGCTGAGATCATGCCACTGCACTCCAGCCTGGGCGACACAGCGAGACTCCATCTCAAAAAAAAAAAAAAAAGAAAAAGAAAACGTCAGTCAGACCATGTGACTCCCTTGCTCAGAACGTGCAGTGGTTCCCCATTGCACTTAGACTAAAATCCAGATTTTTTTTTTAAGTCCCTAGATGAAAAGTGGGAAACCCAAATTCTTTACCATGGCTACCAGGTTGTAAATCACCTGATGGCCCCTGCCTACCCTCTGCACCCTCATCCCATGAGCACTCCTTCCCTTGCACTCTCTACACTCTACTTGGCCCCCCTGTTCTTCTTTCTGATCCTCCAGCTTCAGGGCCCTTGTCCTTGCTGCTCTCTCTGTCAAACATGCTTTACTTCAAACGTTTGGATGGCTGACTCTTTCCTATCTTTCAGCTCATTCATCCTATTCTCACGGAGACCTTTTCTGATCATCCAAGGGGAAATAGCTGAGTCCTTTCCTCCCGTGGCACAAACTCTATTTGATTACCTCTTTTATAGTTTAATTAAATTAAATTAATTAATTTATTTTTTGAGATGGCTCTGTTGCCCAGGCTGGAGTATTGTGTCACGATCTCGGCTCGCTACAGCCTCTGACTCCCAGGTTCCAGCGATTCTCCTGCCTTAGCCTCCTAAGTAGCTGGGATTACAGGGGCGTGCCACCATCCCCGGCTCATTTTTGTATGTTTAGTAGAGACGGGGTTTCACCATGTTGGCCAGGCTGGTCTCCAACTCCTGACCTCAGGTGATCCACTGCCTGTCTCAGCCTCCCAAAGTGCTGGGGTTACAGGTGTGAACCACCACACCCGGCCCCCTTTTATAGTTTTATAGCAACTTAGTATTTGAAATTATTATGCTTTAACATTTTTTATTTCCCTTCTTTTTCTGACGGAAATGTGAGCTCTATGGAAACAGGAACCTTGTCTGTCTTGAACATTGCTTTCTCCCTCACCAACAATAGTGCTTATAGACATGCGCACATAGATACTCAGTCAATAGCTACTGAATAAATAAGTAAGCAATTTAAAATCCAAGCATATTGGCCAACACATAAAATTAATATATTCTGCCTCACTGACTTAGGGCACAAAATATGCCCATCTCTCTTTCAATATTCAAAAGAACCTGAATCTAGGCCCTTGCTGCTCTCTCCTTCTCATTAGAAGGCCTTTACAGCCAACTATTCTGGTTAATTCTTTCCTTTGTTTGTGGATAATTTCTTATTTCTCTCCCCTTTGCCTGTTGTAACTAGGCACTCTTTGGCTAATCCTGTTTCTCCTTTGGTCGCTGTCTAGTAACCCTCAGGAAACAATGCAATGGTCCATCAGAAAAGCTGAATATTCTTTTTTTATTTTTTTATTTCATTTTTTAAGTTTTGGGGTACATGTGCAGGATGTGCAGGTTTGTTACATAGGTAAACATGTGCCATTATGGTCTGCTGCATCTGTTAACCCATCGCTTAGGTATTAAGCCCAGCATGCATTAGCTCTTTTCAAGCTGGGATATTCTTTTTTGTTGTTGTATTTTTTTTTTTTTTTGAGACAGAGTCTCGCTCTGTCACCCAGGCTGGAGTGCAGTGCATGATCTTGGCTCACTGCAACCTCTGCCTTCTGGGTTCAAGCGATTCTCCTTCTTCAGCCTCCTGAGTAGGTGGGATTACAGGCACGCACCACCATGCCCAGTTAGTTTTTGTATTTTCAGTACAGACAGGGTTTCACCATGTTGGTCAGGCTGGTCTCGAACTCCTGACCTTGTAATCTGCCTGCCTTGGCCTCCCAAAGTGCTGGGATTACAGGCGTGAGCCACCGTGCCCAGCCCAAGCTGGAATATTCTTGATGATGGTTGGGAGACATTAATGAATGCGAACTGAACTGGCTATGAGAGCAGGATTTCTCTCTGGCCTCTGTCATTCACATCTTGACTTCCTAGGACAAGTCAAGATGTTGATTTAAAATTCCGGTGGAGTTGGTGTCCTGACAGGACCACCATTTACAATTATTTTTTCATATCACTCCTGTATTTGAGTCCTCACAGATTGTTCTCTAGTGCAACACTGTCAGGGTGTTTCAATAGAATGGTCTTTAGATCCATAGTCCACCTTAAACAGCATATTCTCAGAAGATGGGACTTCCCTAATCTTATTATCTAGATAATTATCATAATAGATAACTAACACCTATTATGGTTCTTTTGCCATATTGAGTTTTGCCTCTTGCTGAAATCTATATGTTTTCCTTTAGGCCTTTGCAAATACCTAAGGCTCAGTAGGCATTCACTGAAACTCATATTTTAAACTACTTTTATTTTTTTTCTTTTGAGATAGGGTCTCACTCTGTCACCCAGGCTGGAGTGCAGTGGCACGATCACAGCTCACTGTAGCCTCAACCTCCTGGGCTCAAGCAATCCTCCCACCTCAGCCTCTCGAGTAGCTGGGACTACAGTCATGCGCCACCATGCCTGGCTAATATTTTGTATTTTTTGTAGAGATGGGGTTTCGCCATTTTGCCCAGGCTGGTCTCGAACTCCTGGGCCCAAGTGATCCTCTTGATCGGGAGGAGTGATCCAGCCTCCCGAAGTGCTGGGATTACGGCCACGAGCCACCGTGCCTGGCCTGAACTACTTTCATTTTGACTCTTTCCTGGCAAAAGCTCTCACCCCTCACCCGTTGCCCTTTCTCTGCCTGCTTTCTAACGTCCTCCGGAGTCAGATCTTTAGGAGCCTTACAGACAAGGGTCCCATCAGTTCTCTATATATTTACGCTTCTTCAGAGCCCTTGCTTGTGTTCTGTCTCACATGTGGAATAAAGTCCCTTTGCCTAAAAAGCAGAAAGAAAGCATTTCCATGAAGGTAACGAAGCTTAATCTTTAGGGCCTTCACATGCATTGGCTCTTCCCAAGGCCCTGGAAAGGGCCCTAGCAATGTATTTGTGTGGTCAGTGCAAAATTAGCAAAAATAAGATATTCTAACCAAAACTAACTAGAAAACTCTCTGTTTCTTTTAGTGTTAGGTGGTGATAGGTGACCGTGGGAATTTTGGAGATCCAGGTTAGGGGAAGTTACATTGGGAAAACATTTAGTTTAAATTCGGTAGAATATATTTATGTGGTAGGCAGTCACTTCTGTATATTGCTAGGTTATCGCTGGCCATTCTGGTTTAGGAATGGCTGCTAGGAATCCTCCTTTTGCCTGCTCTGCTGACACTTTGGGCAGGGTCAGGGATCAGTTAAGGTATACATGTCCCCCTCCTGGAACCAGAAATACATGGGTGGTGGAAGAGAAGGTTTGAAATGCATGGAGCCGGAAGGTTTCTTGTGGAAAAGTCTTCCAATCACCAAATGTAGAAAAATGTAAGCTGAGTATTTGATTCTTATGGGTGCCTAGTCAAAAAAGAAGTTCTCTCTGGAATACACTCTATGATGCAGTGTATAAAATTATACATGCACTATATATTTTTTCCTACTTTATGGCAATCACATGAAATAGAATTTATCAGAATTCCATGTTTGTAAGTCATAAGCCTGAAGAGTACTATAAATAGCAAGTATATCTGTAAGTGAAGTCACATGTCTTATACATCCCCACTATCAATAATGAAAAGCAAACTTCAATGAACTGTGCTAGAAGAATGACTGAATTTTCTTTCTACCGGTTCTGTAGAAAATGTTACAAAATTAATGTCATACGAAGAGGCAGTCAAAGAGTATACAGTCAGAATGTGTAGGAAGAAATAGAGAGATGTGTTATGCAATTAAGTAATAAGATAATGTTATATTTTTAGGTTTTGTCAGCTTTTTAAGTTTTGAATTTGTAATGTTTCTTTATGCTGGTTTTATATTCATACATTTTTGTGTTTAGTTTTTATTTTGTTTAGAGACAGGGCCTTACTCTGTCATCCAGGCTGAAGTGCAGTGTGTGATCATAGCTCACTGCAGCCTCACACACCTGGGCTGAAGCAATTCTCTCACCTCAGCCTCTCCTATAGCTGGGACTACAGAAGCAAGACACCACACCCAGCTAATTTTTTTGAAATTATTTTTTGTAGACACTGGATCTTGCTGTGTTGGCAAGGCTGGCCTTTAACTCCTGGCCTCAGTCTTCCTACCTAGTTCTCCCAAGGTGCTGGGATTACAGGCATGAGCCACTGTGCCTGGCCTATTTATGTTTTTATTGCATTTTTAAAATAGAGGCAAAAAATTGTGTAAGCTTTAGTTCCCCATACAATCAGGATCTTCTTCTGGCAAAGACAAGACATATTTATTATCTCAAAAAATTATCCCAACACACATAATAATTTCCATTAACTGAGTGCTGCTATGGGTCTGATATTATTCTAGGTACTTTATATAATTATCTTATTTAATCCTTACAACTACCCTAGGGGCCGGGCATGGTAGCTCACGCCTGTAATCCCAGCACTTTGGGATGCCGAGGCAGGCAGATCACGTGAGGTCGGGAATTTGAGACCAGCCTGACAAACGTGGAGAAACCCCATTTCTATTAAAAATACAAAATTAGCTGGGTGTGGTGGCACATGCCTGTAATCCCAGGTACTTGGGGGGCTGAGGCGGGAGAATCACTTGAATCTGGGAGGCGGAGGTTGCAGTGAGCCGAGATTACACCATTGCATTCCAGCCTGGGCAACAAGAGCAAAACTCTGTCTCAAAAAACAAAACAGAACAAAACAAAACAGAACAAACAAAACAAAACAAAACAAAACAGGAGTACCCTAGGAGCTGATATGGTTCTCATTTCAATGAGTTATAAAAAATGTAAAAATTTACAAGAAAGTGATGTAATTTACAGGAGGCCACACAGTTCAAAGTAGTTCTGTCTCTTTCTGCAACCTGTGCTCCTCCCAGCATGCTTTGCGTCTATTATCATGTATGTTGTGTATTTTAGCACTGAACTACATTTTTTTTCTTGTGTAGCCTGCCTGCTGCTTTATATTTGTGCTCCTGGATTCTAGCTATAGTATAAGTTCCCTTGAAGATAAAGAATGGAACCCAGGTTTCTTCCATATCACCGTCAACACGTGGCAGAGAGCTGAACTTGCGATGGAATCTCTTTAATTCTTGACAATCAACATTGATTAGAAGTCACATCTGTCTAGAAAATAACCCCAAGAAAACTACAGAAATCACCTCAAAAATAAATGAAAAAAGCTGTTGTTTTCCTGCCTCCATACCATGCTCCCACTTGACACTGATGGAGGAAGTCACCGATTTTCAGTTAAAAATGCGATAGGAGTGAAAATGCAGTTAGAAGCTACAGGTAGGCTTTGGGTTTCTGTTCTGAGCCATCGCTGCTGGCGAATACATGTGTGAAATGCTAGTTACCATAGCAACCAGTGCTGCAAGATTTTTTTTTTCACTTTGGTTTATGAATCCAAATCAATAAATGTTTATAAATAACTCTCCAATTGGCTAAAAGAAGTAGAAGCACAAGCCAGAACAATCCTTCTGTCCTGTGAATGTGAGTCATACATATGTTGGCCACATTCTGGGGACAGAAAAAGGCTATCAATGGAATAAACAATTGGCCACATCATTTTCTTTGCAAGAGCAATTAGGAAAAACCCTGCTGAGTGAAAATCTATTTCACATGCTTACTGACAACAAAGAATACAAAGTATGCTCACCCAAGGGGCATCAAGAGAAGACTGCAGAAATCACTGACTTCAGTAATACAGATACTAGGTCTGAAAGAGAACATTGATGTAATTGCACCTAAGTGATGATACTGAAGTTCAAATGGAGTAGGTAGAGACATTATTCTGCATTTGTGGATTTACATGTTCTCTAGGATATGCAAGCAGAATTCATACAAACGTAGAATTTGCTCTGAAGAGTCCCAACAAAAATCAAATCAGGCCACCAACCAGGGTAAGGATTCTTTCTATAGCATTCCAAACAGATGGTCAAACAGCCTCTCTCAGGATATTTTTAGTGAAAGGGAAAGTCATTTTTCTCCAATCTCTATCTAGTAGCTGTTAGATTTATTTCCTGAGCCAAAATCTCCTCCCACTCTCATCCTTTAACTCGTATCCATTGGTCTTAGTTTGTTCTTTGGCACAACAAAGAACTAATCCATGTGGTTCCTCCTCTTGGTGACAGCCTTTCCAACCTTTGCAAGCAGCCACCAAGTGCTTCTTTAGTCTTCTCTTACTCTTGGTTTAGTTTTCACCTCTCCCCTCTCAGGATGCCCTTGACTTGTCAGCATTCTTCTCTAAATGTGGATGCCCCGAATAATCTGTACAAATCCCCAGATGTGAGTTAAGATTTCAGAGCACAGTGAAACAACTTCCTGTGCTTTTTCTATCTATGGATTTGGCTAAGTTTATGTTCAAATTTTCTTTTCTTTCCCCATGCCACACCCCTTTTTTTTTTATAGCCACACCACACCATTAGCACATAGTAAACTTCTGGTAGGCTAAAACACACAGGGCACCCCATCCCAGAATAGGAACAAATTATGTAAATATTTCTCCCAGGAAGAACCCAACTGGGACAGGGATTCCCTGGCAAGCCACTACCCTGACAAGCAAAAATGAACAGCTGTTCTGATCATTTTGGCAAACATTTTTGCTGGCTGACATAAAATGGAGAAGGAGTAATTGTCCACAAGCTGTGGTTTGAAGGGTCATAGAGAAGTGTACCACCCCAAAATGTGTCACTCATCCAAATGCCAAAATAGCTGGAATTTTACGATTTGGAAAGGTTAGCAAATCCTGGCTATTTTTTCCCCAAAAGGACATATTAAATCACTAACAATTTAGTGTGAATAGGATGACCACATTTCTTTCTTCCAGGCAAAGAAAACTTGGGACAGTAAGAAAACACTAACTTTCTGGATTTGAAGAGAAGGGAGAGGAGTTAAAATCAGGGGAAAACTTTTGAAAGAAGTAGTAGGATAGCCCAAAGCTTTACCTGTTTGCTCTGCTTCATTGTTAATGCTGTCTATGGCCAGGGCAAAAGTCACAAACTCAAATGGACACCAGTGAAAGAAATAGGAGGGTAGAAGAAAAACTACAGCGATGATATAATAAATGGACCCAGGACAATGGGGGAGTGCTGGGAGCATTGCAATCTGGAGGCTTCCACTAAAAGGGCAACCACAGCTCAGCTTCAGCCAAATATCTCAAAGGCCCTGTATTGGCAGATCTTTTAGACTTTTGGAAATCTGAAGATTTATGTAAAATCTTCAAGTTTGGGACCATTGACCAATACTTTGAGGGTGAAACAAAATATCTGTACTGCCAAATATTAGGGTCTATGTCAATAGGATAGAAGCCGTCCTTACAGGGTTAACAAGAATTCTGGACAGAAATATAATTCTAATTAAGCATTAATCAGACTGTATTTTTGGAGCAGGTCAAAACTCCCATGCTGATCAATACTGGGATTGTGTCTGTGAATAGCTGCTGCACTCCAGCCTGGGCAACATAGTGAGAACCTGTCTCTTAAAAAAAAAAAAATCAGGCTGCACTTTGACTCACTTCCTTGTAACCAACAGTCAGGTAGCACTAGATATTGACTATTTGCATCCCCATTATTCCTACAGATAGGATTTCTGACAGAATCATAAGGCTTTTGTTTGAGAATTGCTTAAGATGTTTTTCAGATCTCGAATTCCAATGAAATAGCTGACAGGCTGACACCAGCCAGCTTGAAGACCCCCACAGAGGAATGGGATCAGCATGAGAATATAGTTGATATAGTTTGGCTGTATAACCCAAATCTCATCTTGAATTCCCACGTGTTGTGGGCCGGACCTGGTGGGAGAGAGAATTGAATCACGTGGGCAAGTCTTTCCTATGCTGTTCTCATGATAGTGAATAAGTCTCACAAGATCTGATGGTTTTAAAAAGAGGAGTTCCCCTGCACAAGCTCTCTCTCTTTGCCTGCTGCCATCCATGTAAGATGTGACTTGCTTCTTCTTGCCTTTCGCCATGATTGTGAGGCTTCCCCAGCCACATGGAACTGTAAGTCCAATTAAACCTCTTTCTTTTATAAATTGCCCAGTCTCAGGTATGTCTTTATCAGCAGCATGGAAATGGATTAATACAACAGTTTCTTCATCTCCCTGTCCCATGACTTCACTCTATACTCTTTGACCAATCAACAGTCTCCATGATTCCACCCATTCCGAAACCCTTGAAAACACTGGCCCCAAACTCCACAGGGAGACAGATTTGTGGTTTCCTCCCATGGCCTCATTTGGCATCCCTGCAATTAAACCTCTTTCTCTGCTGTAATGCGGTGTCTCAGTGTGTTGACTTGCGACACACATCAGGCAACTGAACTGTTATGGTTACAGGATCTAGACCTACATCTATTGCAATGAAGCAAGTAGCAGAGACTCCAGAGGTAGTAGCTTAAACAAGATAAAAGTTTCTGCCTTACCTGAGAGGAGCTTCAAACAGTACACTTGGAGAGCTTGATGTGTCTCCTAGAGTTTGAGAGACAAGTGGATGATACCTGAGGGTTGGTGTGTAAGCAGTTGAGGGATAGGAAGCTGTGGTATCTTCCTGCAGTGGCAGAGCAGACAGAAAGAGGGCAATTTTTCTGCATCAGCATTAGCCTTATTATTTCTCCTATCTGCATGTTTAATTGTGTGGTGCCACCTGAAATGAAGAAGTTGAGGCAAACAGCACTTCACTGTGTGTGTGTGTGTGTGTGTGTGTGTGTGTGTGTGCACGTGCAGCACATGCAGATGTGTGTCTGGAAAAGTTATGGAGTTTGTCTGAGATTTTGTCTATGAGCAGAGAAAGGACAAGATCGTATAGCAAGTTTAAATAGGTAATGGAGAGAGAAGAGTTAACTTCATGAAGCCCATTCAATGAAACACAGACACACACACACACACACACACACACACACAAATGTAGATTTTCTTTACACACCTATTTTGAATCTTTTTTACATAATTAAACTATCTTGGAGATTTTTCCACATCAGCATTAGCCTTATTATTTCTCTCATCTGCATATTCAATTGTATGGTGTTGACCTGAAAGAATGAAGTTGAGGCAAAATTAATGTAAGCAGACAGTTGACTGAGGCCAAGCTTGAGGATTGCAACCTGGGAGCATGAATTCAAGCTGTCCTGAATGTACATTCAGATCAGCAGTAGTTACATGTGTATTTTTTTTTGTTTGAGATGGAGTTTCACTCTTGTTGCCCAGGCTGGAGTGCAGTGGCATAATCTCGGCTCACCACAACCTCTGCCTCCCAGTTTCAAGCGATTCTCCTGCCTCAGCCTCCTGAGTAGCTGGGATTACAGGCGCGCGCCACCAAGCCTGGCTAATTTTTGTATTATTAGTAGAGACAGGGTTTCACCAAGTTGGCCAGGGCAGTCTCGAACTCCTGACCTCAGGTGATCTACCCACCTCGGCCACCCAAAGTGTTGGGATTACAGGCATGAGCCACTGCGCCTGGCCACGTGTGGATTTTTAAAGGCAAAAAGGAGGTGCAGGGAGTGAGTGGGCTGATACGAAGTTGTTTGTCAGGAATTCTCATTGGTTTACAGAAATAACATTGGCTAATGATTGGCTATACATTGTTAAGCTATAGAGCAAGCTTGTCCAACCCGTGGCCCATGGGCTGCATGCAGCCCGGGATGGTTTTGAATGAGGCCTAATACAAATTCATACTTTCTTAAAACATTATCAGATTTTTTTTGTGATTTTTTTTCTCATCAGCTATCATTAGTGTTAGTGTATTTTATGTGTGGCCCAAGACAATTCTTCTTCCAACATGGCCCAGGGAACCCAAAAGATTGGACACCCCTGCTATAGAGTGATGGTTATTGTGTCCAGTGTGGCATTATTAGGTTAATTTATAGCTACTTGTGGCAATAGCAAGCAGTTTCAACAGATGAATACATAGCTCAAAGGAAGGAATAGGGTGTGTATTAGTCCATTTTCACACTGTTGTAAAGAACTTCCCTGAGAGTGGGTAATTTATAAAGGAAAGGTTTAATTAACTCACAGTTCCACATGGGTGGGGAGGCCTCAGGAAACTTACAACCAGGGTGGAGGGGGAAGCAGGCACCTTCTTCACAAGGCGGCAGGATGGAGAAAAGAGTGAAGGAGGAACTTCCAAATACTTATAAAACCATCAGATCTCATGAGAACTCACTCACTATTACAAGAACAGCATGGGAGAAAGCACCCCCGTGATCCAATCACCTCCCTCCCTCGACATGTGGGGATTACAATTTGAGATGAGACTTGAGTGAGGACACAGAGCCAAACCATATCAGGGTGTGATTTTGGTTTTATTTTAATGTCTCTCTGGGCCTGATAATTAAAAAGACTTGCATTCCTCAGATAAAAGTTCTTTTCTTTTCTCAATAGATTATGTATTTAAATACTCCCCTGTCGAAGGATATTTATATTGATTCTAATTTTTTGCTATTATTAATAAATGCTGCAGTAAATTTTCTTTTTCACATATAATTTTGCATATATGAATCTATTATAGGATAATTACTAAAGTGGAATTGCTGACAAAGATGTATACTTTTTATTTTGAAAGATATTACCAAATTGCCTTCCAAACAGATTGTCCAAATTTATATGCCCTCCAGCAATGCATGCTCCACAGAGTGTTGGTAGGCCCTCAGCATAAGCATCAGCAGGGAGCTTGTTAGAAATATAATTCTCAGGCCCCACACTGACCTCCTTCAGAATCTGACTGTTAATAATATCTCCAGGTGGTTTTTAAGATGTTAGGTTTGAGAAGTCCCGTAATTGCTTTATCCTTAGCTGCCAAGCTATTTCTTTTGATGGTTTTATTTTGTGTTTCTTTTAATATGAGAGAGGTTGAGCATCTTTTTATGTATCTGAGAACCATTTGTAAGTCTTTATATATTTAGGAGATTACCTTAATATCTGTGGTATGAGTTGCAAATATTTTTGTTGATTGTTTTCAATTTTTAATGTTTTTTCTTTGTTGTGCCCAATTTATTACTTTTATACACTTAAATTTATCTTTGTTATATTTCTGTGTTCTGAGTCATGGAAAGATCTTTGCCCACTCCATAACTATTTAAATTTTTTCGTTTCCTTTTAATACTTTATGGTCTTATTATTTACATTGAAATATGTTTTCTCTCTGAAATTTATTTTGGTTCAAGGAAGGTGATGTGGGTTTATTTTAATGTTTTCCAGGTGGCTACCTCTTTGTTCTAATACCGTGTATTGAATAATTTATCTTTTCCCCATTTATTTGAAATGTCACTTTTTTCATATACTAAATTTCCATATGTGAGCTCTCTATCAGTCACTTATGATATCATGCCACCTTTTGATTAACCAGGATTCTCTACTGAACTATTGAATGTCCTTTCCTAGGTCCGTGCTCTTGCCTTCTAGGTGATAATCAAAATGATCAAAATTTACATGCCTTGTGTCCCATTCTCTTGCAGTTCCTGTAGGTGACAACTAACCTGTATTTATTTCCTTAATACAGACAAACAGCTTATCTGAATCTGGAGGTGCTGGGTTTTTTTTTAATAATGCCTTAAAACAAAAGACATTCTAGAATAGATTGGATTTTTAGAATTTATTATTTTATACCACAGAAAGCAGCAGCTTATTTTGCCTTCCTAGTCCTGCCAGAGACGTTTGAACCAGAGCGACTCCATCTTGAATGGGGGCTGGGTAAAATGAGGCGGAGACCTCCTGGGCTGCATTCCCAGGAGGTTAGACGTTCTTAGTCACAAGATGAGATAGGAAGTCGACACAAGGTACAGGTGACAACGACCTTGCTGATAAAACAGGATGTGATAAAGAAGCCTGCCAAACCCACCAAATCCAAGATGGCGACAAAAGTGATCTCTAGGCGTCCTCTCTGCTCATTACACGTTAATTATAATGCATTAGCATGCTAAAAGACACTCCCACCAGTGCCTTGGCAGTTTACAAATGCCATGGCAACATCTGGAAGTTACCCTAAGTGGTTTAAAGTGGGGAGAAACCCTCAGTTCCAGAAATCCCAGCCCCTTTCCCAGAAAACTCATGCATAATCCACCCCTTGCTTAGCATAAGTCAAGAAATAACCATAAGTATTCTCAGTTTAGCAGCCCATGCCACTGCTCTGCCTGTGGAGTAGCCATTCTTTTATTCCTTTACTTTCCTAATAAACTTGCTTTCACTTTGCTGTATGGACTCACCCTGAATTCTTTCTTGTGTGAAGTCCAAGAACCCTCTCTTAGGGTGTGGACTGGGACTCCTTTCCAATAACAGTCCTAGGAACTAGGAAGTTAGGAAATTAGATCTAAAGTCTCCTCTCCCTTTCTCCACCTCCTTCCCGCCTCTCTTTGTTTTAGTTTTTGGACCTATTCATTGGTTATCCAGCACTTTTTCTGTCGTTATATCAGCATCTTTATTGCCTTCTCATCTCTGGTTCGTTCATTTCTTTTCTCCTTGGATCAACACTTAAAAGTATTTAAAGTAGGTTTTTGACAGAGTCCTTTTATCATCTCTCTTTTTATTTTTTTTTAAATTGTGGGCCAACCCTCAAAACAATTAAAAACAAAAATTGGAACTCAAATATATCACTTAAGAATATAGTTTTTTTCCAGATGTTCTTGTGATATTCCTTTTCATTGTGATAGAGCTATTTTTTCCAATGACATTAAATGAGGACATGTTATGACCAGAACAAGGCTGGCTCCTTGTTGGTCTCAGGATGTTCCTATGAACACATTTGTGTGAATGTTTGCAGATGTCTTTGTGTGAAACATAGGCAGTTTTCCACTGAGAAATGAAATTCAGGGAATTAAACTGAGGATTCCTTCTTAAGGGCACCAACACATTTTAAAATAACATTTTAGTTTGGAAGGAGAAACTCCATTAAACTCAATTAAAAGAGGGATATGCTAAATCTCTTTCCTAATCATGGTAATTTTCCTCTTACCCATTTTGGAACACTTGTAAGTGCTTTCCTCCTTTTGCCAAACTCACTTGAATTTTGCAAGCCTGCAATTTGTGGACATTCAGTTGTGGCTGATACTGTAAGTAGCAGGCACATATTAGCAAAATATACAGTGTTGAAATCAGTTTCCCTCTTTGGGGGCTCTGTGTGGTAATGTGGCTGTGGCTTTGGCTTTGGGCCGTGGACCGCTTATGCACCATACTGCTTTCACAGTCATGCCTACCGTCTTAGCTTGAAAAGCATGGCCTGAGACTAGGGCCTGGTGCAGCCAGTGCACTTAGGAAAATGCACCCAAGGAGTAGCAGTGGGGGAGGAGGTGTTTGGGAGAGCGACGTGGGGAAGAAGGGAAGCCAACTCAACAGAGTGCAATTGAGCTGGTTTCTCTCATTGTCAGTTAGGGACCTAGCCCACTGCAGATCCTCTGAGAAACCTTCTCAAGTGTACTTGAAGATTATTCACAAGAGAAGGAGGAGTATTTATTCCCAGGCTCAACTTTCCTTGCTCAAAGATTGTCCCAAAGGTGTTGACTCCCTCCTGTCCCAGTCCCAGGCCCACAAATGTGGCAGGGTGGCTGGATGGTGTCTGCAGGCCTCCCATTGAGCAGTGACAGAGAGTTCAGGGCAGTGAGCAAGAGAAAGGCTGCTCTGCTGAGGCCAGTGCGCCAGGACACACCTGTAAGCCCCTGGCTGCTGCAGCAATGGGCAAAGCACAAGGCACACTGAAAGATGCCCCCTGCACCTACACACCAGGAAACATATTTCTACCTACACACCAGGAAACATATTTCTAAACGTAATCAGCTTCTGACTATGCTTTATCAGCAGCTTCTGGCATTGAATTTGGGGATAGATATGAATGCCACATTTCAAGATAGCCACAGTAAGACAGTGAGTGGCAGTGGACTGTTCCTTCTGTTCACACCTCTTGGTGACCTGGTGCTACCTTTGCAGAGTCCCATGGGAAGCCACATATGGCAGGCAGATCACCCAACCAGCTCAGAAGCCCAAGGGCACTTTCTTAGTGGACAACTGGATCACCCACCCACCTTGTCCACTCAGGAAGTGTCCTTGGACTTCTGTAATGCCACAGACCGTTTCTACTTGCTCACACCTGGAAGCCCTGAGTGCTAATAAAAGAAACATCAACAGGGGAGGGATATAAGTGCTGCAGTGTTTGTGATTAGCTGCTATTGTCAGGAACATGGCTAATGCTGCAGGGGGAACCTGCAAAACTCACCCAACTGTCGTGCACTGGCGCTAGAACAACATGCACATCACAAAGTTGGTTTTATAGCCATAAGGTGTTACTACAGCCTTTGGCACGTGGTCAGCATCATTTCACAAACACTTTCCCCAGTGACCTCAAATCATTTCCTTATATACATAGGTGCATACATATATAAACATATCTATGCCAAAAACATCCTGGTGTAATTAAGGACAGCAACAACTGTCTATAAAAATCCCCTTAATACCCAGTTCAGTGTCGAACCACTTCAGGAGTCTCTCCCTCCATTAAAAAAATTTTTTAAAATAATATTTTAATGACTTTAATACTTTTTAATGACTGTTGGTATAAAAACGAATATAATCTAGGCTGGATTTATGACTATATATTTATTATAATGACTATCATTCATATTCAAGAATATATCAAAATATAGTATTTGTAATATTATTTTATTATTTTTAATTATTAGATTCTTTTTTTTCTGATTTTTAAGAGAAATTAAGATTAAGACATTTCTGTTGGCCCTAGAACCTGTACCTACCGTGACTGATGGGTAAATTGGCCCTGTCCAGCCCAGAGGAGTTGACCCGTTGTTAATGTCCACGTTCCTCCCAAAGGCTTAGCAAACATCATAACTACATCTTGAAAATAAGTACTAAAAACAAATGTGACTGGTAGTAATTTGCTACAAATAGAAATTAATTTTAAAAAGCAAAAGACAAATGTCATGTTCTTTCTTTCCTTTCCTTTATCCTTCCTCTCTTCTGTTATTGAAATTAAGCTTTTAAAATTTTGAGACCAAGGCTGGGTGTGGTGGCTCACACCTGTAATCCCAGCACTTTGGGAGGCCGAGGTGGGCAGATCACATGCGGTCAGGAGTTCAAGACCAGCCTGGCCAACATGGTGAAACTCTGTCTCTACTAAAAATACAAAAACTCGCTGGGCGTGGTGGTGGACGCCTGTAATCCCAGCTACTTGGGAGGCCGAGGCAGGAGAATTGCTTGAACCCAGGAGGCGGAGGTTGCAGTGAGCCAAGATCACGCTACTGCACTCCAGCCTGGGCAACAGAGCAAGACTGCATCTCAAAATAAATAAATAAATAAATAAATGAATGAATGAATAAATAAATAAATAATAACTCTGTCTCAAAATAAATAAATAAATAAAATAGAATTTTGAAACCATTGTTGAATCACATGCAGTTGTAAGAAATAACACAGACACAGAGATCCTGTATACCCTTCACTTGGTTTCCTCCCGTCTTCCTTCCTTTTTATTTATTTATTTATTTTGAGACAGCGTCTCGCTCTGTCACCCCGACTGGAGTGCAGTGCAGTGGCACTATCTCAGATCACTGCCAGCTCCGCCTCCCAGGTTCATGCCATTCTTCTGCCTCAGCCTCCCAAGTAGCCAGGAACTACAGGCACCCCCCACCATGCCTGACTAATTTTAGCCAGGATGGTCTCGATCTCCTGACCTCATGATCCGCCCGCCTCGGCCTCCCAAAGTGCTGGGATTACAGGCGTGAGCCACCGTGCCCGGCCCTTCCTTTTTAAATCACACAGTTTCACTGCTCAGTGACACATTACATCAAAATTTGTATCAAAATACAATTAGCAATCTTTTCTCTAAGCTGCTGGTACAAATCTTTTTTTGCACTTGGATCTTTGCTTGCGGACCTAATTAAACTAAGAGCTTCTGCACAGCAAAAGAAACTATCAACAGAGTAAACAGACCATCTACAGAATGGGAGAAAATATTCAAAAACTATGAATCTGACAAAGATCTGATATTTAGAAACTATAAAGAACTCAAACAATTCAACAGGCAAAAGACAAATAACCCCATTAAAAAGTGGGCAAAAGACATGAACAGACACTTTTCAAAACAAGACATACAAGTGGCCAGCAAATACCTGAAAAAATGTTCCACATCAGTAATCATCAGAGAAATGGGAATCAAAACCACAGTGAGATACCATCTTATACCAGTCAGAATGGCCATTATTAAAAATCCAAAAAAATAACAGATGCTGGTGAGGCTGCAGAGAAAAAGGGAATACTTATACACTGTTGGTGAGGATATAAATTAGTTCAGCCACCATGGAAAGTAGTTTGGAGGTTTCTCAAAAAACTTAAAACAGAACTACCATTCAACCCAGCAATCCCATTACTGGGTTTGATTTATTTTCTTTTGGGTATATACCCAAATAAATCATTCTACCAAAAAGACACATGTACTTGTATGTTTATCACAGCACTATTCATAATAGCAAAGACAAGGAATCAGCCTAGATGCCCATTAGCAGTGGACTAGATAAAGAAAATGTGGTACATTTATACTATGGAATACTATGCAGCCATAAAAAGAATGAAATCAAGTCTTTTGCAGCAACATGGTTATAACTGGAGGCCATTCTCCTAAGCAAATTAATGCAGGAATAGAAAACCAAATACTGCATGTTCTCACTTATAAGTGGGAGCTAAGCACTGGGTACATGTGGGCATAAAGATGGGAACAATAGACACTGGGGACTAGTGGAGAAGAAAGGGAGGCAGACAAGCTGAAAACCTTGAAAAGCTACCTATTGGATACTATGCTCACTACTTGGATGATGGGATCATTCATACCCCAAACCTCAGCATCACACAACATACCCATGTAACAAACCTGCACATGTACCCCTGAATCTAAAATAAAAGTTGAAATTATTAAAAATAAATAAATAAAATAAACCTTTACTTGCATTTAATAATTTGTCATTTGACACTAGTAATAGTTCCTAAATGTTTTTTAAAAGGCCCTAAAATGTTAAGTTGTGCTTAATATGAATTCCACCTCAAATACTGTCATTCTTATTTTTCTAATTTTTAAACACTTGAGCACCTTTCTCTAAATGTGTTAAATAAATTTTTTTTTTTTTTGAGACAGAGTCTCACTCTGTCACCCAGGCTGGAGTGCAGTGGCGCGATCTTGGCTCACTGCAAGCTCTGCCTCCCAGGTTCATGCCATTCTCCTGCCTCAGCCTCCCAAGTAGCTGGGACTAAAGGCGCCCGCCACCACGCCTGGCTAATTTTTTTGTATGTTTAGTAGAGATGGGGTTTCACCATGTTAGCCAGGATGGTCTCGATCTCCTGGCCTCGTGATCCACCCACCTCGGCCTCCCAAAGTGCTGGGATTACAGGTGTAAGCCACTGCACTGGCCCTAATAAAATCTTAATATGTATTGCCCTGGAATGATCCTAACCTGCAATAGACAACATTGTGTAAGTTGGGTTGCTTTGGCATTGACCTTAAATATCCATGCCAGATAGTAGCATAAGAAAAACAAGTGCATGGATTTCCTTATCCCAACCTCACACCCTTTTGTGGGAAGGAATTGGAAGAAAGCTCCTAGATGCAGAGCCAGTTTTCTCAATCTCAACACTATTGACACTTTGGGATGGATAATTCTTTTTTTGGGAGGGGCAGGGGGAGCTGTCTGGTGCATTGTAGGATGTTTGGTAGTATCCCTGGCTTTTACCCACTAGATGCCAGTAGCACCCCTGACCCACCCTACCAGCTGTGACAATCAAAAATGTCTCCAGACATGGCTAAATGTCTTCCGGAGGACATCATTTATCTTGGTTGAGCTCCACTGGCTCAGAGGATCCAGAGAGGCAGAGAAAGGATTGTGAGACTAGGACTATAAAGGATGTCTCCAGGTTTGTAGGAACTTTTGCACATTTTTTTTCCTGAAAACCCTGGAAGTCCTAATTTCTTCACTGACCCCCCTGCGTTGCTGAGACAAAGGCATAGAGTGCAGGCTCCAGAGCTAGACTGCTCAGACTCAAATCCTCGCTTTGCCAGTTGCTAACTGGGGGGCTTCAGGCAAGTTTTGATCCCTAAGCCTGATTTCCTCATTGTGAAATGGGGATACGATAGAAGCCACCTCACATAAGAGAATCCATACTAAGTGCTTATCACCGATCAGAGGCCTGGCACGTTGCAAATAGTGTTAGGCACGTGTGCACGCACACACACACACACACCCCAGAGCAGTTGCAGTTAAGGCATTTTCGCAGAAATTACGGTGATGGCTATCTTTTGTAAGTAATTATGGTGATAGCTATCTTTTGTATGGTGGATTAAAGGACATCCATCGTATTGTGAAGGATTTAATAATAAATAAGTTACAGAAATTAACTGCCTTTACAGAAATAGGGAAGGCAGTGTTTAATAACTAAGCGTAAGGGCGTAATTCCTCTGCTCTGCTGAGAAGCCAGGTTAAAGCACTTATTATTGGCTAGGCATTAATTACATTATTCCTGATCCTCCTTACAGTCACGTAAGGTGGCCATTATTATGCCCAATTTTAGGGTAAAGAAATAAAGTTCAGAGAGGTTAAGTCACTAGCTCAAGGTCACAGCACTAATAAATTGCTAACAGGGGAGTCTAGCTCACATCGGATTTAATTCAAACCCTTTCTTTTGCGGCTGTGCAATATAATAGAAAGTGGACGAGTAAAAGGCAGGCAGAGGGAAGATGAACTGAAATGACCCAGGGAAAGATTGTAAAGGAGGCACTTGGCCAGAGAGAGAAAATGCCAAGAGTGAAAGATGAGAGCTGTTCTTTTAGCAGAGGGAGCTGAGATTCCTTGACAGATAGTAACACTAATCTTCACTTGTCCTTTCTTTAAATTTTTTTTTTTTTTTTTGAGACAGAGTCTCGCTCTGTCACCCAGGCTGGAGTGCAATGATGCGATCTCTGCTCACTACAACCTCCACTTCCCAGGTTCATGCCATTCTCCTGCCTCAGCCTCCCAAGTAGCTGGGACTACAGGCACCCACCACCACGCCCGGCTAATTTTTTTTTTTTTTTTTGTATTTTTAGTAGAGACGGGGTTTCACCATGTTAGCCAGGATGATCTTGATCTCGTGACCTCGTGATGCGCCCACCTCGGCCTCCCAAAGTACTCGGATTACAGGTGTGAGCCACCGCGCCTGGCTGTCCTTTCTTTAAATTTTTAAGGAAATTGAGAAAGAGAAAAGGCAGATGTTGGAAATTCAGCTGGAGAAGATATTTCGAGGTGTCACTTTGTGCTGTCTGCAGTGATGGGAGCTCTCAGTGTGAAGCCCTAATTTAGGCTGTCCAGAGAAACCCAGCCAGAGAGTGTCCTGTTGGCAGAAGGATGGAGAGGTTTATAGGAGAAGGGCCTTGGGAAAAGAGAAGGGATTTTGAATTCTGCCTTGGCTGAGAAAACAAACAATTATTTGGCAGCAAATATTTACTACAGTATATGCTCTCAGCTGCTCAATCATTCTGCTGTCCCTGGCTATCCATTTCAGCTGACCTACAAGGCAAACCTCTAAAAGGTGAGCTCTCTGGGTGCTGAGCAACGGAGGACCAGACCGGCTGCAGCTCCTTAGGAACAAACATACTGATCTCTGACTCCACGTTCTTTAGAATGGAAAATCCGGCCCTTAGAAAATAAGCAGCCATTGATAAACTCCGGGTAAATCTTGTCTAACTGGCAAGGAGCACAATGACTTCCAGGCTGGGGGTGGGGCAAAGCAGCGGCTGAGTGTGTTTGGACCGTATTCCCCCTTTCAAAGGCCCCCGGGCCAGCTGGAGGCTTTACAAGGGCCCCCACTCAGGCCAGCCAGCAGGGAGTTGAAGTAATCTAATTTTAATTATGTGACAAATGCATGAAGAATCATTTAAAGGTCTGTCAGAGGGAAAAATGGCTCCAGTCTGCCAGGACTCCTTAGATGGCAATAAAGAAACCCGTGGCCTAAATGCTGGGTTTTGGTGCTTAAAAAAAAAAAAAGACTCATATAACCAGATTGCACACTATTGAAACAGACATAGGCTATGAGAGGACATTCATTAGTCAAGGACAAAGACACCCCACAAGGCAGCTGTCTACATGAGCATAAGTCTACATTTTTACTGGTGTTAAATCGTCTTTAAAAAATATGATGATGATTCTCTTTTGTCTAAAACCAAACGAGTGAACATAGCTATGGATAGTGCCAACAACAAATGATTTATAAAGCACTTTCATATACATTATCCAGTTGAAGCTTCAAAAACATTATCTTGGCTGGGCGCGGTGGCTCACACCTGTAATCCCAGCACTTTAGGAGGCCGAGGTGGGTGGATCACCTGAGGTCAGGAGTTTGAGACCAGCCTGGCCAACATGGTGAAACCCTGTCTCAAAAATTAGCTGGGTGTGATGGTGTGCACCTGTAGTCCCAACTACTTGGGAGGCTGAGGCACAACAATTGCTTGAACCTGGGAGGAGGAGGTTGCGGTGAGCTGGGTTGCAGTGAGCCGAGATTGCGCCACTGCACTCCAGCCTGGGCGACAGAGTGAGACTCTGTCTCAAATAAACAAAACAAAATAAAACAAAAAACATGATCTTGTTGAATCTTTAAGGCAAGTTCTTAGTTTTAAGTAATAAAGACTTGATTTCTGAAATCCCACTTTGGTTTAATTTGCCGCTAGTTATGACTTATATCAAAATGAAACTAAAAGTCCTTTCATCTAAAGCAAGGTGGCACAATTTTTTTTTTTTTTTTTTTTTTTTTTTTAGACAGAGTCTCACTCTGTTACCCAGGTTGGAGTGCAGTGGCCCGATCTCACTGCAAGGTCCGCCTCCTGGGTTCATGCCATTCTCCTGCCTCAGCCTCTCGAGTAGCTGGGACTACAGGCACCCGCCACCACGCCTGGCTAATTTTTTGTATTTTTAGTAGAGACAGGGTTTCACCGTGTTAGCCAGGATGGTCTCGATCTCCTGACGTCGTAATCTGCCCGCCTCGGCCTCCCAAAGTGCTGGGATTACAGCCGTGAGCCACCGTGCCCAGCTGAGGTGGCACTATTTTAAAGTTCTGAGAGCCTAAAGCCAAGAGATCAGTCTTCTATTAAGCCAGCCAGCCTTGACCAAAAGATCTCTGAGGACAGCGGCCATCTCCCAGCAGCCCACTGCTATAGAAAGTCTTTGGCATCAGGTAAGTGAGAAGGCAGTGTTGCAATCATTAAGCAGATTAAGACTCTTGGCTTTTTCAAAGGTATTGCTACATCTTCCTCATATTGAACACAGATTTCTGCCCAGAGCTCCACCCCAGGTCAACATAGTAAAGTTTACTGAAAAGTTTGTCACAAAATGTATGAGACAAGCAATGAGTGGGAACCTCAGAGAATCTGGACAAGTAGATGCAAAATTATTCTGCCTCAAGATGTTTATATCAAATGTGTCCTTGCAGCTCCCAGAAAATGGGAATGTAGCCTTCCTGCGTTGATTTCTAAAGTAGTAGCCATAGGCTTTCTTCTCTCTGCACAGTGTTCCAGTAAGAAGGGTAACATAATCTTTTCTCATTTTCCCCAGGGACAAGGTTAGTCAGGCTAATGCTAGGTTATGCTTCGGTAACAAATAAACCTCAAGTTCTCAGCAGCTTAACCTAACAAAAGTGTACTTCTCACTCATATCACAGCCTGAGGCAGGCTTCTCTTGGCAGCTCTCTAAACAGTGAAATCAGAGCACTTTTAATGCAAAACCGCAATTACTTTTGCACCAACCTGATATGGCCAGTGATGATGGCATCTGCATTCTGTACCTTCAAGGTCACTTTGGAAAGGGAAAGAGAGGACGAGAGGAAACATATTAGCTTTCAAATGCACAGGCTTAGAAGTGAGTGACAAAAGCATCCCTTCTGCTTGAAGCTCATTGTCCAGGTCTGATCATGTGTCCCCAACCCAACCGCAAGGAGGTAGAGAAATGTAGAGAAGTCCGCCACTATCTGGGAAACATTAACCATTTCTGCCCCCAAGGACTCTACTCAGAACCATTCCCCACTAACACCCTGGTCTGGTAATTTTCATGCAAACAAGAAGTGGTTCTTCCTCACAAGAGACTGGGTTCATACAATACAGACGGTGGTTGGCATTACTACTGACCAGGAATACATTTTTTCTTGCTCCTCTCATATAGCTGTCCATAAAATATTTTGATTTGAGATTCCATCTGCAACAGAGTAACAAGAATTCATTTTTTTCCTCTTGTAGTGCTAAAAAATTGACTAGTCAAATATATATGGTAATTCTTGGATGCTTGTTAATAAAAATATATATAAATCATAAAAAGGTGGAATGTTAGCCCAAGAACACTGCATCTAATTTACAAGGACAGCAGTCAGTCCCCGGAATAGCATTGCAGCTTCCAACACTAGGTTCATGTTTATGCAATGCTCACGTATCTAGGACCAGACTCAGGGTGGGTGATGCCATCAAGGAAAAAGTGAAAGTATTTAAAAAGCAACTCAATTCTCCTTTTGAATTTCTCAGAGACTATCAAAAACAGATTCTTTTCATAATCCACAGCATCACTTATTTGTTCCCTTTTTCTCTCCTCTCTAATCATCTCACATGCCATGGTAAAACTGTTTTACTCATACCAGAATAAAACTCTTTAATAAACAGCCAGTGCAGCTTTCTAGTATCACTTCTGCCTTCCCAGTGGATCCATCTAAATTCTCTTCCATCTGGGGAAAGCCAGGAGGAAGAGGATTAAAATCAAGTAGACAAATACAAAATTCCCTTTAGCAATGGGGAAAGAGGGGGAGCTCTGAATACTCATATGTTAATAATTTGTGCCCCCAGGCCAGGCACAGTGGCTCACATGGGTAATCCCAACACTTTGGGAGGTGGAGGTGGGAGGATCACTTGAGGCCAGGAATTCAAGAGCAGCCTGGGCAACATACTGAGATCTCATCTCTAAAAAAACTAAAACAAATTAGCTAGGCATGGTGGTCCACACCTGTGGTCCTAGCTACTTGGGAGGCTAAGGTGGGAGGATCACTTGAGCCCCAGGAGGTCAAGGTTGCAATGAGTTGTGATCATGCCCCTGTACTCCAGCCTAGGCGATAAAGTGAGACCCTGTTGCCAAAAACAATTAAAAAATAAGAAAAATAAATAATTCGTGGCCCGTCACATTTGCAGATCCAGCAATCCTTTGGAAGCATCTTGCATATTCCTTGTACTTAACGACTCTTCCCACAGGCCTACTTCTTTTTTTTTTTTTTTTTTTTTTCTGAGATGGAGTCTCACTCTGTTGTCGCCCAGGCTGAAGTGCAGTGGTGCCATCTCAGCCCACTGCAACCTCCGCCTCCCAGGTTCAAGTTATTCTCCTGTCTCAAGCCTCCCGAGTAGCTGGGACCACAGGCACGTACCACCATGGCCTGCTATTTTTTTTCTACTTTTAGTAGAGACGGGGTTTCACCGCGTTAGCCAGGATGGTCTCGATCTCCTGACCTCGTGATCTGCCTGCCTTGGCCTCCCAAAGTTCTGAGATTACACACGTGAGCCACCACGCCCGGCCACGCCTACTTCTTTAATAACTTACCACACCCCTCGTAATCAGAGGCCCAGATATGAAGTTATGCTTAGGAATGCCTTTGAGATCGCAAGAGAGAAATGAAAAAGTTAAAGTGGAGGTAGAAATAACTTTGAAAAGGAAATAAAAATCAGAATTCCTCTCAGTAGAAAAACATCTATTTTCTACCCAGTCATGAAGGGGAACTTGAGTTTGTGTTTTGGGACCTTCATTTCCCATTAGTTCAAAATGATGATGCAGAGTTTCCTTTCATGTTTTTGTATTTTCCACCCCACATGGCGTATGTCACTTAGTCTCACAAAGAATCCCCATTGCTCTTTCGGGTTATGCATCCTCACAGGTGGCCTGCTCCAGCAGACTCTGCAGCAGCTCCCAGTCTCTGTAGCCCTCTCCTTCACATAGACGGTGACAACTGGCTCCTCCGCAGCTCTCCGATCCTAACCCTTCTGTTCAGTAGCGCTCAACCCTGGCTGCATATTGCAGTCATCTGGAGAGCTTTGAAAAATCCTAGGGCCCAGGTGCACCTCAAACTATTAACTATGAGCATGGGACCCAGCCACCTGTATTTTGTACAGTTCCCTAGCTGATTGAGATGTGAAGCCAAGGTTGAAAACCACAGCTCTAGCCCAGTGTCTCTTTTTTTTTTTTTTTTTTTTTTTTGAGACAGAGACCAGCCTGGCCAACATGGTGAAAACCTGTCTCTACTAAAAATACAAAAATTATCTGGGTGTGATGGTGTGTGCCTGTAGTTCCAGCTGCTTAGGAGGCTGAGGCACTAGAATTGCTTGAACTCAGGAGGCGAAGGTAGCCCAGTGTCTCTTAAACTTTAAAGGGTATCAATTCCCTGGCAGTGCCTGCGAAAAATGTAGGTTCTTTTTTCTTCTGAGAGATTCTAACTCACCGAGTGTGAGGTTAGGTTCAGTAATCTATTTTATAAGCACCTTCTGGGAATACTGATGCAAACGGTTTCCAGACCACCCTTTGAGAAACATCGCTTTTCGAGGGCTCAAATGCTAAGTCACACCATGCTGCTGTTTCCATAAGCATTTAAAATATTTTTAAATTAATAGTATAGAAATTTTCTTCTTTTTTCTTTTTTTAGAGATCTGGGTCTCACTGTGTTGTCCAGGCTGGTCTTGAACTCCTAGGGTGACATGATCCTTCCATTTCTGCCTCCCAAAGTACTAGGATTGAATGTGTGAGCCACTGTGCCTGGCCGGAATTTTCAAACATACATAAAAGTAGAGATAATAGTATAATGACTGTTCTGGTCATCTATTGCTACATAACAAATCACTTTAAAATTCAGTTGTTTAAGACAATCATTTAGTTTGCTCATGAATCTGTAATTTAGGGAAGAGTTAGCAAGGACAGCTGGTCCTTGCTCCATCTGTCATCAGCTGGGGTAGCTCAAATGGGCCTGGAAGATCCACTTCCAAGATGGTTCACTCACTCATAATAAACAGACAAGTTAATGCTGGTTATTGGCTGAAAGTCAGCTGGCAGGGCTGGATGGGGATCTTGTTTTCTCTCAGCTTAGTTCTCTTTAGAAGACTGCTTGGGCTTCCGCACGGCATGGCAGCTAATTTCCAAGAGTGAGTGTGCCAAGAGGCAGAAAGTAGTGGCAGCTGCCACTTGTTTGAGTCCTGACCCAAGAAACTAGCATAGCATAATTTCCTTCAGATTCTATTGATCAAATCAATCAAAAAAGCTGCCCAGATTCAACAGTGTAGGAAATAGATCCTATCTCTTGTTGGAAGAAGTGTCAGATTTGTGGCCATCATTAATCCATCACCTAGCTTTACTTACATCTACTTTTGTACATTGGCCTTTTCCTATACCTGAGGCCAGAAGGTCTGCCTTGAACCCAATTCTGCAAGCAGATTCCATCTTTTTGCATTTATCTAAGTCCCAGTCAACTTCCTTGAGGCCACCTCTCCCCTGTTTTGTTTGGATCTCTGAAAATTAACAGTCCTTTTGAGAGATGACAACATGCTAGCAGCCCTCGCTCACTCTCAGCGCCTCCTCGGCCTCAGCGTCCACTCTGGCCACACTTGAGGAGCCCTTCAGCCTGCCACTGCACTGTGGGAGCCCCTCTCTGGGCTGGCCAAGGCTGAAGCCGGCTCAGGCGGGAACCGGGGCTGCACGCGGTGCTTGGGGGCCAGCGCGAGTTCCGGGTGGGCACGGGCTTGGCGGGCCCCGCACTCGGAGCGGCCTGCCAGTGCCACTGGCCCTGCGCAGTGAGGGGCTTAGCACCCGGGCCAGCAGCTGCGGAGGGTGTGCCAGGTCCCCCAGCACTGACAGCCGCAGGCCTCAGCCTCCTCCCCACAGGGCAGGGCTCAGGATCTGCAGCCCGCCATGCCCACCCTAGCCCCCCCTTCCCCCCTGCCCCTTCCCCCTCTCCCTTCCCCCAGTCCCCTCCCCACCTCCTCCTGCCCCACCCCCTCCCTCCCCGCCCCCTTGCCCCTCCCCGCCCCCTCCCCCTGCACCCTCCCTCCCCCCTCCCCTCCCTTCTCCCCCCTCCTCCCTGCTCCCCTCCCCCCGCGGCCCAGGCGCAGGATCCAGTAGGCGAAGCCAGCTGCGCTCCTCAGTCGGGTGGGGACTTGGAGAACTTTTATGTCTAGCTAGAGGATTGTCAATGCACCAATCAGCACTCTGTCTAGCTAAAGGTTTGTAAACACACCAATCAGTGCTGTGTCTAGCTAATCTACTGGGGACGTGGAGAACTTTTATGTCTAGCTAGAGGATTATAAATGCACCAATCAGCACTCTGTGTCTAGCTCGGGGATTGTAAACACACCAGTCAGCACCCTGTCAAAACAGACCAGTCAGCTCTCTACAAAATTGCTTGAACCCAGGAGACCAAAAAATTGGTCTGTAAAACAGACCAATCAGCTCTCTGCAAAATGGACCAATCAGCTCTCTGTAAAATGGACCAATCAGCAGGATGTGGGTGGGGCCAGATATAGGAATAAAAGCAGGCTGCCTGAGCCTGCAGCTGCAACCCAAGTGAGTCCCCTTCCACAATGTGGAAGCTTTATTCTTTTGCTCTTTGCTAAATGTTTTTACTGCTCACTGTTTGGGTCTGTGGTGCCTTTATGAGCTGTAATATTCACCACAGAGGTCTGCAGCTTCATTCCTGAAGTCAGCAAGACCACGAACCCACCGGAAGAGACGAACAACTCCAAGCCTGCCACCTTTTAAGAACTGTAATACTCACTGTGATGGTCTGCAGCTTCACTCCTTGAAGCCAGCGAGACCATGAGCCCACCAGAAGGAAAAAACTCCAGACACATATGAACGTCTGAAGGAACAAACTCTGGACAAACCATCTTTAAGAACTGTAACACTTGCCGCAAGGGTCCGTGGCTTCAATCTTTAAGTCAGCAAGACCAAGAACCCACCAATTCCGGACACCCTTTGATTTCCAGTCTGTTCTTTGCCTGCCATTTGGGTTCACTGATTCTGGGTTGTAGAGCTCCCCAGTATCTACTTTGCGTTGTCTCATCAATCAGAATTCAATCTCTGCTTGTCTCTGTACTTCCTCCTAGCTTCCGGAGCTAGGTTTATTCTTCTGTTACCTTTACCCATTCAACAAAGAGGAGGCGGAATTGTTGAAACTATCTTTAGGTCCTGATTCCTCCAGGCCAGCCTTGTACCACTGTAGCCAGGTAGAACATACGGGTTATCTCTGCGGTAGCTCCAATCTTTTCACATACCTGTCTTTCCTCCTTATCACTTTTCTAAATTTAAATCACAGAATCTTAGAATTCCAGAGCAGGAAGGGGTCTCAGACTATCTAGAACGCAACCTCGAGTTTTACGGATAAGCACATCTGTGTTCCTTCCCTCATATTGCCACCTTGATGCCCTTTGATTTGGGACCAGGATTTCACTTAATCTTAGTAAAACGACTTTCCTATTCTCCCATTCAAAACCTCTTTTTTTCAGGGAAAAAAGAAGTAGTAAAGCTAACTTTATATCCCTGAAAATAGCTAGTGGGTAAAATTGGGTGGGGTGTGACAGAAAGAAGTCTCCATGTTCTCCCTATAGTAAAAGAAAAACCTGTTTCCAAATTATTTGAACACATTCATGTGTTTGTATGCTCCTTGTGCTTTCTATTGAGCAGCCTTGACAAGTGAGTAACTGGAAAACAACATTGCTGTTTTCCCACTATGCTGTTAGAAAGAGGAAGTGTGCTTCTGAGACAAGGATAATGAAAGCGTAGGACTGTGGCTTCCAGGGCTGCAGCTAGCAACTGTAGCAATCTGAGTAAGCAGCACAATACTTGCTTCCAAATTAATGGAGATGCACAATGGGGAAGATGAGGGTGAGTAAGAAGATGAAGACTCCTTAGGCTGACAGGGCCTCTGCTTTTTGGTCTTTTGTGGATGTGGAAGGAGAGTTAATTTGACTTTCAAAAAAATTATACTTTAGGCCGGGCGCGGTGGCTCACGCCTGTAATCCCAGCACTTTGGGAGGCCGAGGCGGGCGCATCACGAGGTCAGGAGATCAAGACCATCCTGGCTAACACGGTGAAACCCCATCTCTACTAAAAAATACAAAAAATTAGCCAGGCGTGGTGGCAGGAGCCTGTAGTCCCAGCTACTAAGGAGGCTGAGGCAGGAGAATGGCGTGAACCTAGGAGGCAGAGCTTGCAGTGAGTGGAGATCGCACCACTGTACTCCAGCCTGGACTACAGAGCGAGACTCAGTTACAAGAAAAACAAAACAAAACATCAAATGGAAGCAGTGTCAACAACCATTCCATCATTTAGCTAGGAATAATCTCCATTGCTCAGCTATGGTGAATATTGCAAAAGAGGGCATAATTACCTCTGAGATAAGCTGCCGAATCCATTGTTCTACAAGAAGTCATAAATGTAGTTGTTAGTCATCACAAAAATATTTTAAAATAGTACTTAAGGCTGGGCGCGGTGGCTCACGCCCGTAATCCCAGCACTCTGGGAGGCCCAGGCAGGTGGATCACGAGGTCGGGAGATCGAGACCATCCTGGCTAACATGGTGAAACCCTGTCTCTACTAAAAAAATACAAAAAATTAGCCGGGCGTGGTGGTGGGCGCCTGTAGTCCCAGCTACTCAGGAGGCTGAGGCAGGAAAATGGCATGAACCCAGGAGGCGAAGCTCACAGTGAGCCGAGATCGCGCCACTGCACTCCAGCCCGGGCGACAGAGCAAGACTCTGTCTCAAAAAAAAAAAATAAAAAAAAATTAAACTTTAGGCTGGGCGCAGTGGCTCATGCCTGTAATCCCAGCACTTTGGGATGCTGAGGAAGGTGGATCACCTGAGGTTGGGAGTTTGAGACCAGACTGGCCAACCTGGAGAAACCCTGTCTCTACTAAAAATAGAAAAATTAGGTGTGGTGGCGTATGCCTGTAATCCCAGCTACTTGGGAGGCTGAGGAAGGAGAATCTCTTGAACCCAGGAGGCGGAGGCTGCAGTGAGCCGAGATCGCGCTATTGCACTCCAGCCTGGGCAACAAAAGCGAGACTCCGTCTCAAAAAAAAAAATTACAGTTTAGAATAGTTTTATACTCCACCTGTGGCATCTCCTCAAAAGCCTCAATTCCTTGAGCAATGTGGTATACCATAAATGTGGATTATATGGTATACAGCAGGTACCATAGATGTTGATTCCTTAGAATTAGTGGTATATGCATGTGCGTGCACATACACACACACACACACAGAGCCTCTGTCACTCTTGAGATTGTCCTAATTCATTAAGACACATGAATTGAGTGACTATTGTGTATAAGGCCCTGCCTTAGATAGGCCCTGCAGATACAAAGTCATACAAACATGATTCTGTATCTCAAGGGTACCAAGAAATAAATCTATAATTATTTTCAAATACATTGAGTGAAATGATTGGTGCCTTTGAAGATGGCCTGTTTCAGATTTTAAAAGAGCGTAACTCTATCACTCATTAAGAGCTATTAGCAGCCCCCCTCTCCTTTCTTAAACATTTTCTTCTTTCTTTCAGGCTTGGCCTTTAGAGAGTCAAAATTATGTTCTCTAAAACAGCCTTCTCAGTCATGCTCCAGGGTGGCTCCCTTGTTATTTTTATGATATTGACTCAAGGAAGCACAGGCTTTGAGAGCTGGAAGGAACGTTGGATACATATCCCTTTCCCTGTGTTCTCTTTGAAACACGTGTCATGTTACTTTCCATTTCGTTATATATATTGTGCAGCTGTTCAAGTTCTGCAAGTGGGGAAGGTCATTGATATAAATAGGCACCTCACCAAATGAGGAGTGTGCTCCCGGGACCTTTGGAAGAGAAGGACCTCATCCTGTGAGTGCTGCCATTGTTAGGAAGACGGAGATTTCCTGTTCCCCCTCGATCCCTAGGCATTACAAATGGAAAGCGTGAAAAGAATTACAGAAATTGAGGGGAGGCAGAGGACCCTGAGAAGCGAATTCCTTTGTCAAGTTATGTCCTGAGACTGGTTTGATGTCTCCAAGGTTCAAGTTCTTGGAAATGGCTCAGAAAAATGTTTTTAATAAGCAAATTGCCTTGGGGGAGAATACAGGCATGTCTCTCAACATGATTAACTTACTTTAGAAACACAGAAAAACATAATCCAAGGTGTTAATCACATTTCATGAGGTCAGAATATCATCAGAGGTCTGGAGCATAATTTAATCAGGTTGACTGAATAAAGTTAAGGTTTTACCAGGTGCAGTGGCTCATGCCTGTAATCCCAGCACTTTGGGAGGAGGTGGGAGGCCAGGAGTTCGAGACTAGCCTGGGCAACATAGCTGGACTCCATCTCCACAAAAAATAAGTAAAATTAAGGTTGGTATTAACTTTACCTACATTTGTAATACCATACATTTTAGAAATATTGACTGATTTGTTTACTCCAGCATATCTTCCATTTAATGTATAAATGACAGGAATAACCCTCAATTTTTGGATGCCAGAAACAGGACGATTCACAAGGGAAAGCAACAGCATATCTGACCATATAACAACAAAGAACTTATATTTATTCAACAAATTTGAATGAACTTCCACTTTGTGACCATCTCTGCACTCAGTGCTCAAAGCCTTGCTAGTCTTCATCATTCCATCTGTGTTGAAAAACTAAAGAAAAACAGAAGTAGGCCAGGTGTGGTGACTCACGCCTGTAATCCCATTACTTTCGGAGGCCAAGATGGGTGAACTGTATCTGGAATTGGTGGATTCTTGGTTTATGTTGACCTCAAGAATGAAGCTGCACACCCTGGTGGTGTCACAGTTCTTAAACATGGTGTGCCTAGAGTTTGTTCCTTCGGCTGTTCAGATGTGTCCAGAGTTTCTTCCTTCTGGTGGGTTCGTGGTCTCACTGACTTCAGGAATGAAACTGCAGACCTTCAGCATTGAGTGTTACAGCTCTCAAATGCAGCATGTCTGGAGTTGTTCCTACCTTCTACTGGGTTTGTGGTCTTGCAGGCCTCAGAAGTGAGGCTGCAAACCTTTGCAATGAGTGTTACAGTTCATAAAGGTGGCAGAATTGTTCATCCCTCCCAGTGGGTTCACAGTCTTGCTGGCTCTAGAAGTGAAGCTGCTGACTTTCCCTGTGAGTGTTACAGTTCATGAAGGAAATACGAATGGAAACTGAGCAACAACAAGATTCATTGTAAAAAGCAAAACAACAAACCTACCACGGCACGGAAGGGAACTACAGTACGTTGTTACTGTTGGGGCTGGTGGCTTGCTTTTATTCCCTTATCTGGCCCCACCCACATCCTGCTGATTGGTCCATTTGACAGAGAGCTGATTGGTCCATTTTGACAGAGTGCTGATTGGTGAGTTTACAAACCTTTAGCTAGACACAGAGTGCTGATTGGTGCATTTACAATCCTTTAGCTAGACACAAAAGTTCTCCAAGTCCCCGCCCCATTAGCTAGACACAGAGTGCTGATGGGTGCATTTACAATTTTTTAGCGAGACAGAAAAGTTCTCCAACTGCGAACCCGTCTCAGAAGCCCAGCGAGCTTCACCTCTGACTGGAGCTCGCTGCAGGGAGTTTGGGGCACCCAGCCTGGGCAGTCCGGCAGCCCAGAGGAAGCTCCTCCCGGACAACCAAGAGGAAAAGAGGGAAAGCGAGAAAGACGGAGAGCCGCCATCGTGGCCAACGACCGCGCGAAGAAGGAAGGGCGATTCATGCACGGGACCCAGCCTCCAATCAAGCCCAGCAGGCGCCAGCCGGCGGCGCCGAGTGCAGGGCTCGCGAAGCCCGCCGAGCCTGCGCCCACCCAGAACCCGTGCCGGCCCGCGAGCGGTGTGCGCAGCCCCAGCTCCAGCCCGCGTCTCTCTCTTCACACTTTCCCGCCAGTAGAGGGAGCCGGCTTTGGCCTCGGCCAGCCCCAGAGAGGGGCCCTCACAGTGCAGCTGCGGGCTGAAGGGCTCCTTGAGCGTGGCCAGAGCAGACACCGAGGCCGAGGAGGCGCCCGAGGGCTGCTAGCATGTTGTCACCTCTCAGGATCACCCGAGGTCAGGAGTTTGAGACCAGCCTGGCCAACCTGCTGAAACCTCGTCTCTACTAAAAATACAAAAAAATTTAGCTGGTGGTGGACGCCTGTGATTCCAGCTACTTGGGAGGCTGAGGCAGGCGCATCACCTGAACCCGGGAGGCGGAGGTTGCAGTGAGCCGAGATCGCGCCATCGCACCCCAGCCTGGGCGACAGAGCGAGACTCCGTCTCTAAAAAAAAAAAAAAAAAAAAAAAAAAGAAAGAAAAACATAAGTATAGTGGGAAAACACTTTTACAAAAGTAACAAAATGTTCACATGTTGCTTACTATATAAAATTCAGTAGAATGTTGTTTATGATACTGATACTATGCAAGGATACATTACTCAAACATAGAAAAGCTGACAAGATAATAAGAAATTAATAGATTAAAATATAAATGGATATGGGAACCAAGAAGACTAAATGGAAAGCTAGGTGCCAAAATCTCTGATACCCGGAGGTCCTATTTGAAAATAGTCTCTTTAAAGAGGTAATTAAGTTAAAATGAGGCTGTTAGGGTGTGTTCTAATCCAATATGACCGGTGTCCTAAGAAGAGATTGGAACACACAAAGACACCAGGACAGACACCAGTGCACAGAGCAATGACTGTGTGAGGAGGTAGCAGGTGGGTGACCCTCTGCAAACCAAAAAGAGAGGCCTCAGAGGACCCAACCCTGCCAGCACCTTGATCTGGGACTTCCAGCCTTCGGAACTGTAAGAAAATTTTCTGTTGTTAAGATTTCCAGTCTGTGGTATTTTGTTATGGCAGCCCTAGCAAAGTAATACACCTTTCATAAAGATTCTGGGGCTCAGCAGAGCAAGAGGAATAAGAAAAAGTCTCTGAGAACTTGTACCTAGCAGATGAGCCCTTCTGAGTATCTGCAGGTCAATTTGATATTATCTGAGTGGTTAAAAAATTGAAATTCTGAATTTAATTTAAAAGTGGTCCCACAGTGTTACTGCTTCTAGGCACCCAGAATATGCAAATACAAATCTTCTTAGGAGGAATATGCCTTCATCTTACACATCAACAAATTCCCAAAATGTATGCTACACGAATGGGCCTTGAAACATTATGCTTATTGAAATAATCCAGGCACAGGACAAATATTCTATGATTCCATTTATACAAGGTACCTAGAATAGGCAAATTCATAGATATAGAAAGTAGAATAGAGGTTACCAGGGATGGAAGAGAAAGGAAAGCGAGTTATTGTTTAATGGGTATAGAGTTTTAAGTGGGAATGATAAAAATGTTTGGGATAAATGTAGTGATGAAGATTATACAACATTGTGGATGTATTTAATGCCGCATAAAATTATGAATGGTTAAAACAATAAATATTATATATTTATACCATATATATATACCATAATAAAAAACCACAGATTTTAAAATTCTCAAATATAATATCTAAAGAACAATGAAAGCAGTTATAAATAAATGAGACATTGTGCATAAGAAAGAATAATTACTCATCTTTTGAATAAACCCTCTGCTTATTATATATAAAAAAAGGCAAGATTGAATCTGAAAATAAGCTTAGGCTATAAAAATGACACAGTAGATTTGAGAAGGGACCAAACAGATATTCCATAAATAAAACATAGTAATTAAAATAAAGCACTCAAAGGACAGATCTAAAAGCAAGTTTAGGCCGGGCGCAGTGGCTCACGCCTGTAACCCCAGCACTTTGGGAGGCCGAGGCAGGTGGATCAGCTGAGGCCAGGAGTTCGAGACCAGCCTGACCAATATGGTGAAACCCTGTCTCTACTAAAAATCACAAAAATTAGCCAGGGGTGGTGGCGGGCGCCTGTAATCCCAGCTACTCTCCTGCTTCCTACTGAGGCAGGAGAACTGCTGGAACCCAGGAGGCAGAGGTTGCAGTGAGCCAAGATGGCACCACTGCACTCCAGCCTGGACAACAGAGTGAGAGTGCGTCTCTAAAAAAAAAAAAAAAAAAGATAAAAAAGCAAGTTTAATATAGCCTATTACTGAACTGGAAGATAGAAGAAATGATCCAACATAGAGGCAAGAGACAAAGAGTTGCAAAAAGACAAAAGAGATGCTAAGAGAAGACCCATAAAGGATAGGGTGAGAAGGTCCACCCTATGTCTAATCAGAGTTCTGTAAGGAGAGCAGAGCAAGAATGGAGCACAGACAATACTAGAGGAGATGATGGCTAAAAATTTTCCAGAAATGATTATAGGCACAAATCCATAAATTTGAGGAGTTGGATGAATATAACATGGAACAAATAGAAATCAACAGCCAGAGACATTATAATAAAATTTCAGAACATCAAAAGTAAAGGAAAATTTTAAAGTAGCCAGAGAAAAAGGATAGAGTACCTTTGTTACAGTTATCTATTATGTAACAAATTACTTCAAAACTTAGTTGCTTAAAAGACTGATGATTTATTATTTATCACAATTCTCTGGTTTGGTGAGGCAATTCTACTGGTCTTGTGTGGGCTCATTCATACAGCTGTATTCTGTATCCCCTAGTGGGTTACACAGGAGCTGGGTTTAACTGGGATGCCTGGGATGGCTTGATCTCTCCCTTACCATAAGATGTTTCATCATCAAAGACAACAGACTGAGTTTCTTCACATGACAAAAATAGCATTCCAGGCTGGGAGCAGTGGCTCACGCCAGTAATCCTAGCATTCTGAGAGGCCGAGGCAGGCGGATCACCTGAGGTCAGAAGTTGGAGACCAGCCTGACCAACATAGTGAAGCCTCGTCTCTACTAAAAATGCAAAAATTATCCAGGTGTGGTTGCGGCGCCTGTAATCCCATCTACTTGGGAGGCTGAGGCAGGAGAATTGCTTGAACCCAGTAGGTGGAGGTTGCAGTGAGCTGAGATCGCACAAATGTACTTTAGCCTGGGAGACAGAGTGAGACTCCGTCAAAAAAAAAAAAAAAAAAAGCATTCCAGGAGGGAAAACCCCAAAACGCAGATACTTATATAGCCTCTGTTTGCGTCGTATGTGTGGATGCCTTATTGCCCAAAGTAAGTTACCTGCCCGAGCCCAGAGTCAATATGGGAGAGAACTACGCTACGGTATGAATATTAGGAAGTGTGATTCATTGGGAGCCGCAAATACAGTTGCTTTTTGAAAAATTCGAGGGTTAGGGGCATTGACCCACTCTGTGCAGTTGAAAATTGACTCCCACAAAACTTAACTACTAATAGCCTGCTGTTGACCAGAAGCCTTACCGATAACATAAACAGTTGATTGGCACATATCTTGTATGCTATGTGTATTATACACTGTATTCTTACAATAAAGTAACTTAGAGAAAAGAAAATTTTAAAAATTGTTATTAAGAAACTCATAAGAATGAGAAAATATATTTACTATTCATTAAATGGAAGTGGATCACTGTAAAGGTCTTTTTCCTCATGGTCTTCCATTGAGTAGGCTGAAGAGAAAGAGGAAGAAAAGGAGTTGGTCTTGCTGTCTCACGGGTGGCAGAGTGGAATAGGTGGAGGTCAAAGGGGAGGTAGGAGAGGCAGGCACACTTGGTGTAATTTTTATTGAAAAAAAAATGCAGGCTGGGCGTGGTGGCTCACGTCTGTAATCCCAGCATTGTGGGAGGCCGAGGCGGGTGGATCATCTGAGGTCAGGAGTTCCAGACCAGCCTGGCCAACATGGTGAAACCCTGTCTCTCCTAAAAATACAAAAAATTAGCCAGGCGTGGTGGCAGGTGCCTGTAATCCCAGCTACTTGGGAGGATGAGGCAGGAGAATCGCTTGAACCCAGGAGACGGAGGTTGCAGTGAGTGGAGATTGTGCCACTGCACTCCAGCCTGGGCGACAAGAGCGAAACTCCATTTCCAAAAAAAAAAAAAAAAAAAAAAAACAAGAAAGCAAGCAAGAAAGAAAAGAAAAAAATATGCATATAAATGAACCAGCACAATTCAAACCTGTGTTGTTTCAGGGTCAAGTGTATTTCAATCAACCACATTCTGTTTTCTGGCCTCCATGATTCAATTCCCTCCCTCATGGAAAATAAATTCACCTTTTGCCAGGACTCAAAGTATCACCCAAATAATAGTATCAGACTCAAAGTCCATCATCTTGTGATCTGTATTAGGTCTGGATGCAGAGGAGACTCCTTTGGGTGCAGATCCTCAGATGTAACTCCTCTTGATTTAGAGGCCTGTGAACAAAAAATCATCTGCCTCTTTCACACCAAATATAAAATGGTGAGATGAGTCAGTATTTACTCTCATTAAAAAGGGAGGAAAAGGCCGGGTGCAGTGGCTCACACTGGTAATCCCAGCACTTTGGGAGGCACAGGCGGGCAGATCACCTGAGGTCAGGAGTTCGAGACCAGCCTGGTCAACATAGTGAAACCCCATCTCTACTAAAAATACAAAAATTAGCTGGGCATTGTGGCACACGCCTGTAGTCCCAGCTACTTGGGAGGCTGAGGTGGGAGGATCGCTGGAACCTAGGAGGCGGAGGTTGTAGTGAGCTGAGATCATGCCACCACACTCCAGCCTGGGCAACAAAGTAAGACACCATCTCAAAAAAAAAAAAAAAAAAAAAGGGAAAGAGGTATCTGCCAGTCACTCTTTCATAACAATTCTGAAATTCAGCTGCTCTAATGTCAGGGGTCAGGTTTTCCTATTCCAAGGGCATGGGATATATCTTTTTCTTTTTTTCTTTTCTTTTCTTTTTTTTTTTTTTTTGATGGAGTCTCGCTGTGTCACCCAGGCTGAAGTGCAGTGGCATGATCTTGGCTCACTGCAACCTCTGCCTCCTGGGTTCAAGCGATTCTCCTCCTTCAGCTTCCCTAGTAGGAGTAGCTAGGACTACAGGCATGTGCCACCACACCCAGCTAGTTTTTGTATTTTTAGTAGAGACAGGGTTTCACCATGTTGGCCAGGCTGGTCATGAACTCCTGACCTCAGGTGATCCACCCACCTTGGCTTCCCAAAGTGCTGGGATTACAGGCATGAGTCACCGTGCCCGGCCTGGAATATTTCTTGATGATCAGGAATTGGTTCTACTCTCTAGGAGTTGATCCCTAGAGCATTTTCAAATTATAGAAAAAAAACAAAAAAACATTTTACGCCAAGTGCAATGGCTCACTCCTGTAATCCCAGCACTTTGGGAGGCTGGGGCAGGAGGAACACTTGAGGCCAGGAGTTTGAGACCAGCCTGGCTAACATAGCAAGACCCCAACTCTACAATATGAAAATGAAACCGGCTGGGTGCAGTGGCTCACGTCTGTAATCCCAGTTTTTTGGGAGGCCGAGGTGGGTGGATCACGAGGTCAGAAGTTCAAGCCCAGCCTGGCCAGCATGGTGAACCCCACCCCCTCACCCCCCATCGCTACTAAAAATACAAAAAATTAGGCGGGCATGGTGGCGCGTGCCTGTAGTCCCAGCTACTCAGGAGGCTGAGGCAGGAGAATTGCTCGAATCCGGCAGGCGGAGGTTGCAGTGAGCCGAGATCGTGCCATTGCACTCCAGCCTGGGTGACAGAGTGAAACTCCATCTCAAAGAAAAGAAAAAAAAAACAAATTAGGCATGGTGGTGTGCATCTGTAGCCCCAGCTACTCAGGAGGCTGACGTCGGAGGGTTGCTTGAGTTCAGGAATTTGAGGCTGAAGTGAGCTATGATTGTGCCACTGCACTCCAGCCTGGGTGACAGAGTGAGACCCTGTCTAAAAAAATAAACAAAAACTTATTTTTCCTGCTCTCATACACTACTCAACACTTCTGACATCAGATGTGTGTGGGGGTTTTCCCTACACACCAAGAAATTCTCCAGCAGATACCATTTGGGTGTCTAATAATCTAATTCATTCGGACGCTAGCTACCTGGAGATAGCATCAGCTCCCGTAGGTTAAAGGTGCAGTTCCAGAGGACTGCCCCCACTTCAGATGCCAATCATAAGCCCCATGTTATGACCTGTGCTTCTGATTGACTGGCTCTAAATCAGGGTTCCTATGACCCCCTCCTCAGGTTCAATTAGAACTCAGGGAAACACTTATGTTTACTCATTTATTATAAAAAATACAAATGAACAGCCAGATGGAAGAGATACATAGTGTAAGGTATGAGAAGAGATGTGGAGCTTCCATGCCCTTCCTTGGGCACCACACTAGAGGAACCTCAACATGTTCAGCTGTCTGGAAGCTTCTGTGAACGCTGCCCATTTTGGTTTGTATGGAGGCTTCATTACATAGCCATGACTGATGAAATCCTTGGCCACTGGTGATGAACAGAACCTTCATCCTCTTCTTCCTCCCCAGAGTTTGGGGGTGAGATGGGGCTGAAAGTCCCAACCTTTTAATCCTGCCTTGATCTTTCTGGTGACCAACCTCATTCTAAAGCTAGCTAGCAGCTGCCAGCCAGTCACCTCCTTAGCATACAAAAGACTTTTACTATTTGGGAGATTACAAGAGTTTTAGGACCTGTGTGCCAAGAACTAGGGGCAGAGACCAAATACATATTTCTTATATCATAATATCATAGCGTTGTTCTTTTAAGTTCTTGGTGACACCCTCTGGACCCTTGGGTCTAACCTCGGACATTTCTCCTTTTTGATAGAAAATGGCCCATGTTTGCAGCTGAGTGACATTCTCAGCCTTTTTCTGCCTGTAGATGATTGGGGGCTCAGAAACAGCCTTTCTTTTGAGCTATTCTTTATTGCTTTGAGTTCAAGCAGGCACAATTTCCTTAAAAATATGTTTGGTTTCTTATGACTCTAGATGGAATTTATTCCATGTTCCAAAAGCCATGAGGCCCCAAGAGGCCAAAACAGACCTCTGTCTACACTGGGCACATCAAGCTATTGTGGGTCACTACCCTTATGATTCATAGAAGTCCATTTGTCTAGCTAATGGGATCTACTAAGTACTGCCTTAACTCTTTGTGGGATCTTAATAAAGGAATTTACTGCCACACATGGATTTCCTCTTTATCGTAAGCATGTTTTACTCAGAGAATTTTTTACTGGCTGGAGAGACTGAGGATGAGAAACAATTTTATTTCACAATCCAGTAAGTCCTGGGCACTCTAGATTTCCTCTAAATTCTACTTGCGGACTGAAAAGTTCTTTCTAGTTCCTCTCTCTTATCATGTATACCATGTGTCTTATCATATGCAGCTAAAGGAGGCCAAATAATACTTTCAGCATTCTGCTGGACATTTTAGCTACAGCTACAACTGTATCTAAGTGAGGTCCATTTTCCCCTCTTCCAAGTTACTGCAGGCAAGAGTGTTGCCAATTTGTTATCATCTGAATGTTTGTGTTCCCCTCAAATGTATATGTTGAAATCCCGGTCCCCAAAATGATGGTATTAGGAGGTAGGGCTTTTGGAGGTGATTAGGTCAAGAGGGTTCTTCCCTCAGGAAAGGGATTAGTGCCCTTAAAAAGAGACTACAGACCCTCTTACCTCTTCACCATGTGAGGACTGAGTGAGAAGATAGCTGTCTATGAACCACAAAGTGGGCTCTCACCAGACACTGAATCTGTCAGCTTTTATCCTGGACTCCCCAGCCTCCAGAACTGTGGGAAGTAAATTTCTGTTGTTGATAAGCCACCTAGTTTACTATATTTTGTTACAGCAGCCTGAATGGGATAAGACACAATTGTTTCACTATACAAAACAATGAGTACCCACTTAACAGTTTCCAATAAGGAGTTCCTCCCTGCTTTTCCAGCCTCCACTCATAGTTTGTTTGCAGCCCGTCCAGGCTTCATTAACAATTTTCCAGCCAGGTTTTCAGCCTTCGCCCACTGTCCAGTTCCAAAGCCAATATCATACATTTAAGATTTTTGTTGTTTGTTTGCCTACCTTTAGGATTTTGTTACTACAACATTGCAGTTCTAGTTGGCAATTTCTTTTTAGGTTATATGTTGCCATATAACTAGTCACCCCAAACCTTAGTGACTTAAAACAACAATGATTTATTATTTTTTAAAATGATTCTGTAGGTTGGCTGAAAGATTCCTCTGCTAGTTTCACCTGAGCTCACTTGTTTGGTTATTCAAGGGAGTTGGCTGAAAGCTAGGCTCATCTCTGATCCCTGGGACAGAGGGGGCTCTCTTTCCATCTGGGAGGAATACCAGGAGCTGGGATTCATTGGGAGCCATCTACCCTCACCTTTAAAGGACCAGCATTACTTATAGCAGCCTTTTCAGTAGTAACAGGAGAAGCCAGTGGGAAGTAAAATGATATTGTCAGTGCATTAAAAAAATACAAAAAACAGCCAACCTAGGATTGTAGACCGGATGAAAATATCTATCAAGAATGAGGACAACATAAATGCATTTTTAGACGAGTAAAGCTGAGAAAGTTTGCCACAAGCAGATGCTCACTAAAGGAAATTGTAAAGAATAAGCTTCAGGCAGATGGAAAGTAATTCCAGATGGAAAATCTGAGATGCAAGATGGAACAAAAAGCATGTGAAACAATAAAGAAATATATTAAGGGGTTACAAATATGATAGAGTTAATATATATTCACCACAATATGCAAGTTGGAAGCAGAGTTAATAGAGTTAATAGTGTTCTAAGTTTCTTTGTTTTTGTTACTGTCCAGAGGAGGATGCCTGTTGATTAACATCAGGCTTTATTAAGTAGGTATGCCAGGATTTTTTAAAAATGTAGAATGGGTTGAAAAAATACAAAGCAAAAAATAATATGGTTTATATAAGTCAAAATATGTTACCAATTACATTAAATGTAAATGAACTAAAAGTTCAAATTAAAAGATAATACATTTAAGCAGTATAACTTAATTACCTAATCTAAACATACAGTAAACATATATTAACTGAAATTTAAGGGGAAAAAAAGAGAGAAATCCACAGCCACAGCAGAAGGTTTTGGCATACGCCCCTGAGTGATAAATTTGGCTCATAAGAATTAGATAAGCTATAGAATCTTTTAATAGCATGATTAATAAACTTGACCTAATAAACATAGCTAGAAAACTGCACCCACTAACCCATTTTTCCCTAGCATACACAGAACATTTATAGCAAAGGAAAAAAAACAAGGTCATACAGTGAGTCCTAATAAACTGTGAAGAACTGAAATTTTACAAAGCTTGGCTCAATTGCAATGCAAGTAAGCTAAAAATAAATAATAAAAATAAGTAGAAAAGCTCATAGTTTTAGAAATTAAAAAATATACTTCAACATAAAACACAGGTCAAAGAAGGAACTGTATTAGAAATTAGATAATATTTTGAACTGAAAACTAGTACGTATTTAATTGCTTATAGAAGGTAGCTAACACATTTCATAATAAAAAATTTTAAATCTTAAAAATATATTAGACAAGAAGAGTGGCCGAAAATGAATGAGCTAAGCATCTATCACAAATCAGAATACAATCAGCAAAATACCCTTGCCCCCAGAAGTTAGAGACAGGAAATAAAGTAAAGAAATAAATAAAGTAGACAACAAATGAAGACATAAGAACAGAAAAATAAGGTATAAATAACCAATGACAGGGATGAAAATGAGTTTCCACTTCTGATGCTGTAGTTATTTTACAAGTAAAAAGATGATAATATGAGCAACTTTTTTCTAAAATATCTAAAACTCTAGACCTTAAGCTAATGCCCTCGTTTCTTACTTTGCTGAGAAACTTGAAATAATCAGAACTTCCACAGTCCTCTACTACAGAACCTACTCCCGTGCAAGTATTCTCATCTACACCCATGTATTTCCTGCCTGTTAAATATAATAGATTTTTCCATGCTCCTATCTAAACCCAGTCCCAGCCAGGGGCAGTGGCTCATGCTTGTAATCCCAACATTTTGGGAGGATGAGGCACGAGGATCACTGGAGCCCAGGAGTTCAAGAACAGCCTGGGCAATATAGTGAGACCCCCATCTCCCCCAAAATTTAAAAATTAGCTAGATGTAGTGGCATGCAACTGTAGTCCCAGCTACTTGGGAGGCTGAGGTGGGAGGATTGCTTGAACCTGGAAGGTCCAGCCTGCAGTGAGCCATGTTTGTGCCACTGCATTCCAGTCGGGGTGACACAGCGAGACCCTGTCTCAAAAATAAATAAACAGCGCCCCCCCAAAACATAATCCTTCTATTTTTGCACTGCATCCTATCCTTCTCTTCTAGTTAAGGACATTTCTTTACTAGTTCTCCCCTCTTTGCTACATAGTCAGTATTTTACTCTTTTACCAAGTTATTTCCATCAACATTCAAACTTCTTCCTCCAGTTACTCATTTCCATATTTCTTCAAGTGTTTATCTATATTCTCTGACTATGTCCTCTCCTTCCATTCTGTCTCCATGCACTCATGCCTTTTCTCCTACTACTCTATCAAAATAGTTCTTTTTATGGGCACGAATAACCTTGCTAAATCTAAGGTCAACCTCTATCACCATCTTACCTAACCTATCAACAGCATTTGACAGAATAAGGGTAAGTTTTTTCTGTTTTCTAGAAATACACTTTTCTTTGGCTTCCAAGATAGGGTAGTTGCCAGATTCCCCACCTATCTCATTGTCTGCTTATTCTTTGTCCCTTTTGTTGATTTTTCCTCTTCTCCCCAAACTCTTAATGTTGGAGTTCAACAAGGTGAACACTTGGTTTGCCTCTTCTTATTTCTTTTTTTTTTTTTTTTGAGGTGGAGTCTTGTTCTGTTGCCCAGGCTGGAGTGCAGTGGTGCGATCTTGGCTCACTGCAAGCTCCCCCTCCCGGATTCACGCCATTCTCCTGCCTCAGCCTCACAAGTAGCTGGGACTACAGGCACCCACCACCATGCCTGGACAATTTTTTGTATTTTTAGTAGAGACGGGGTTTCACCGTGTTAGCCAGGATGTTCTTGATCTCCTGACCTCATGATCCACCTACCTCGGCCTCCTAAAGTGCTGGGATTAAAGGTGTGAGCCACTGCACCTGGCCTCCTCTTCTTATTTCTATGTACACATACTTCCTTGGCAATATCATCATTACCATTAATTTAAAAATACCATCTATATGCCAAGAACTCCCAAATTTCTACCTCTAGTCTGGACTTTTCTCCCAATTTCCAGATTCAACTGCCTGGTTGATAGCTCTACCTGGCTTCATGACAGAAACCTCAAACTCAACACATACCAAAAGGAACTTTGGATTTCATCTGCCAAACCATTCTTCTAGCCACACATGTAAAACAAAAATAGAGTTGGTTTTAATTCCTCTTTTATTTCCTCCTCACACCACACATCCAATTCATCAGGAAATTCTGTTGTCTTAGTCTTCAAATATATCCAGATTTTAACCATTACTCACCACTTCCACTGTTTACCTTACCTGAACCACTATTATCTTGCACCTGGATTATTGTAATAGCTTCGTAATTGGTCCTGCTCTTTTCATGTCTGCCTTCCTATAATCTATTCTCAACAAGGCTTTAAGAGCGGTCCCTTTAAGGTGAAAATCATGTCATGCCATACTTCTGCTCAAAACCCTGCAGTACCCCATTTCACAATTCCTTCAGTGGTCTACAAGTCCCCATATGATCTAGCCCTTTAGCTCCTCTGACCACCTCACCTATTGGTCCTCTCATTGCTCACTCCAGACTAGCTACACTGGCCTCTTTGCACATATTCTTGTTATCCACATGGCTAATGCCCTTATCTCTTTTTTCTTTTCCTTTGAGACAGAGTCTCGCTCTGTCGCCCAGGCAGGAGTACAGTGGCACGATCTTCGCTCACTGCAAGCTCCGTCTCCCAGGTTCACGCCATTCTCCTGCCTCAGCCTCCCGAATAGCTGGGACTACAGGCGCCCACCACCACGCCCAGCTAATTTTTTGTATTTTTTAGTAGAGGCAGGGTTTCACCGTGTTAGCCAGGATGGTCTCGATCTCCTGACCTCATGATCCGCCTGCCTCGCCCTCCCAAAGTGCTGGATTACAGGCCTGAGCCACCGCGCCCGGCCGCCCTTATCTCTTTAAAATATTTTCTTAGCTGTTACTTTTCGATAAGACCTTCTCTTACCACATTATTCCACTGTACCTTCCCAAATTATCCCTGGATCTCCCTATCCCCCTTTCTGTTCCATTTAAAAAATTCCATAGTACTTTTCACTTTCTAATACCTGGAATAAGACTTGTGAATTGTATTTAATTATACCTTCTGTCTCTTGTTGACAGAATTTTATCTCCACAATGGCAAGGACTCTGGTTTGTTTTGTTGATGTGGAAATGTGCCTAGCACACTGTATGTGATCAATAAACATTTGTTAAGAGGATGAATGAATGAAATATACAAATCCTTACAAAAATCAAGACCATATATATTTTATAAAGGGCAACACATCATGACCAAGTTAGGTTTGTTCTAGGAATGCAAGATGGTTTAACATCAGAAAAATCAATGGATGTAATCCACCACATTCAATCTTTTTTTTTTTTCTTTGAGACGGAGTCTTGCTCTGTCACCCAGGATGGAGTGCAGTGGCGCAATCTCGGCTCATTGCAACCTCCGCCTCCCGGGTTCAAGCAATTCTCTGCCTCAGCCTCCCGAGTAGCTGGGACTACAAGTGAGTGCCACCACACCCCGCTAATTTTTGTATTTTTAGTAGAGACTGGGTTTTACTATGTTGGCCAGGCTGGTCTTGAACTCCTGACCTCGTGATCCACCCGCCTTGGCCTCCCAAAGTGACATTCAATCTTTACAGAAGGTACACCACATTATTTTCTTGATAGATTAAAACAAACGACATGTTTGATGAAATTCCACATCAATTTATAAGAATTTAGAAAATACTTTCAGCAAGCTAATAATAAATGAAACTTTCTTATGTTTATCAGGACATCTAACAAATCTATAGCAAATGTTATACTTAGCAATGAAAAATAAAAACTTTCCCTTTGGTCAGAATGAGACAAGGACATCTACTATCACCACTTCTGTTGTACCAGAGGTTCAAGCTGGAACATTAGGACAGGAAAAATAAATAAAAAGTATTAAGATTGGTAAGGAAGAAACAAAACTGTAGCTCTTTGTAAATAATATAATAATTTACATAGAAAATGCAAATGACTTATAGAGAAGTTATTAGAATGAATTAAAGAGTTTAGCAATTTTGCCGAATACAAATTTAATGAGCAATATTTACATTTTGTGTGGTAGCTACAAACAATGAGAAAATGAAAGAAAAAGGATATTTTTAACATGAACATTTAAACATACCTAGAAATTAATGGTTTTAAAAATGTGTAGGAGACCTTTATAGAGAAAATAATAAAACTTTATTGAGCATCTAAGAAAATAAAGAAATGAAGAGATATACCATGTTCATGGATTAGAAGATTTAGTATTACTTAAGCATACCAATTTTCTCTAAATTGAACTACACGTTCCTTTCAATCCTGATATAAGTTACAGCAGATTATGTATTGAAATTGATTCACTACTTCTAAAATATATGAAAATACAAATGAAAATGCAAAAACAAACCCACTAAAAACATTAAGTATAGCATTTGCTGTTATACTTCTGAAGAAAAGTATAAGAAAAGTATATGATATAAACTGTGGCATTTACATAGCATGGCATTGATACAGGGAGAGATAAACAGACTGATGGAATGGAGACCCCAGAAATAAATATGCTTATTTAGAAAATTTTTGTGATGAGGGTCACTTTGTATATCAGTGGGGGAAAATGGGCTTTTCGAATGATAGTTCTGGGACTAGTAGACATCCATATGGAAAAAGGTAAAAGTTGAGGCTTACCTCATATCATACATAAAAATCAATTCTAGGAGGCTAAGAGAGCTAAATGTGAAAAGTAAAATTATACGTCCCATAGAAGATAGAAAGACTTCAATGACCCAAGAGCAGGGAAGAATTTCTTAATCATGTAGGAAAAAAGTTGACAAACATAACATTATAATAAAATGAAAAATTTCGTTTATGAAACAGCATCATAAAGAGAGTAAAAAGGCAAAACACAGAGTAGAAGAAAATAGTTGCAACATGTATTACCACAAAAGGCTAGTATCTTGACTATGTTAAAAATTCCTACAAATCAATAAGGCAAGAACTGAGAATCCATAGAAAAAAATGAGAAAACCCCTACATAAATGAGGCACTTCACACAAAAGGAAATAAAAATGTCAATAGACACATGAAAAAGTGCTCAACATAATTGGTGGTGACAACCAAAATGAGCAATTGAGGCATAAGTTTCAAATCATCGAGGGTTATTAAGCCAGCTTGATGGTGTCCCCTGGAAAAACACAAGTCATTGAAGTGTCTGTGGCTGTTTCTTCCAAAAAGATTCTTAAGAGGTTCAATATTTATTCACTTTCCTTAAAAAGGGTGGGGGGGATGGCAGTGAGACAACTGATTGCATACTTGTGAAACTTCGATGAGTGTCCAGAAAATCTACATTTTACATAACATAAGGTGAACATTTGAAGAAAAAGGGAATAGAAGAAGCAGATGGCTCAGGGAGGAGTAAAAGAACGATTAATCTCATCTATCTCAGGGAGAGGTGAAGGAATGATTAATCTAATCTTTGTTCTTTATCTGGGAAAATAAGTTAGTAGTCTTTTGAAAAAGCTGGTTTTTATTTAGCCGTTAGAGAAGAAAACCCATGACTGTTATCAACGGAGGGGATATAATGAAGCACGTTCGATTTCCCATGCCATCATGGCTGTGAATTTAGCCTCCAAAATTTCTCTGGGGGTATCCTTGGCCAAGAGTGGATCCATTCAGTAAGTTGGGGGGCTCAGAATTTTATTTTTGTTTCTCAGTGGTCAAGGGAATGTGCTTAAAAGCCGCAAATAGAATCTATATTCTGAGGACTAAACTCTGATTTTTTTTTTTTTGTCTTGCCCAAATTCCTATCTAAGGTGTCTGGGAAGTCATGCCCTACAAATCATAAATTCTCATCAGATGGGTTTTATTTAACCCTATATATTGACTTACTTTCCAACCTGACTCTGGCATACATTATGAGGCAAGGAAAAAAATCAAAATATTTTACCCCAAAACATGTTTCTTTGCTATATTTTGAAATGGCCCTGCAAAGCTGTTCTTTGTGGGGGAAAAGTTGCATCTGTAAAGAATCTTTATTAATATAGCTAGATCGTTTTCTTCCAGACCCTCCCAATCCTAAAGAGATTAACTAAGATCTGAATAGGCAACATTTGTCATCTATTGCCTCTAAGGGCAGCCATATAAGACTTCAGAAGAACTTTGATTCTCCACAATCTTTATCTTAACCTGAACGTTTCCTTTCTAAGAATCCCAGGTCTTTAGACAAACTCAACCAATTGTCAACCAGAAAATGTTTAAATTCACCTATAGCCTGGAGGTGCCCCACCCCGGCCCCACCCTGCTTTGAGTTGTCCTGCCTTTCTAGACCAAACCAATGTATGTATTTTCTTTTTCTTTCTTTTTTTTTTTGAGATGGAGTTTCACTCTTGTCGCCCAGGTTGCAGTGCAGTGGCACGATCTTGGCTCACTGCAACCTCTACCTCCTGGGTTCAAGTCATTCTTCTGCCTCAGCCTCCCGAGTAGCTGGGATTACAGGCACCTGTCACCATGCCCGGCTAATTTTTTTGTATTTTTAATAGAGACGGGGTTTCATCATGTTGACCAGGCTGGTCTTAAACTGCTGACCTAAGGTGATCCACCTGCCTCGGCCTCACAAAGTGCAGGGATTACAGGCATGAGCCACCATGCCCAGCCAACCAAAGTATTTCTTAATGTGTTTGATTGATGTCTTGTGCCTCTCCAAAATATATTAAACCAAGCTGCCCCCCGACCACCTTGGGCACATGTTCTCAGGACGACCTGAGAGCTGTGTCATAGGCCATGGTCACTTATATTTGGCTCAGAATAAATCTCTTCAAATATTTTACAGAGTTCGACTCTTTTCATTGACAATTCTATTTGATTTATTTTATTTTTATTTTTAATTTTATTTAATTTTATTTTATTTCGAGACAGGGTCTTGCTCTGTCGCCCAGACTGGAGTGTAGCAGTGTGATCTCAGCTCACTGCAACCTTCCCCTCCCAGGCTCAAGCAATCCTCCTGCCTCAGCCTCCCAAGTAGCTGAGACCACAAGTGTGTGCCATCACACCCAGCTAATTTTTTGTATTTTTGGTAGAGATGGGGTTTCACCATGTTCCCCAGGTTGGTCTGGAACTTCTGAACTCAAGTGATCCACTGGCCTATGTCTCCCAAAATGCTAGGATTACAGACATGAGCCATTGTGCCTGGCCAGAATCTACATTCTACATAAGTTCTTTAGGAAAAATTTTTTTCATTTTAAAGTTTAAGAACTATCTTTCAGTCCATGAATTGTTAAAATCTTCGTGGCATAAGTGTTTTTTCCTTCTTTGCCTAATTTACATATAAATGATCAGAAATGAAATTACTGCATCAAAGGTATAGAAACATTTTTAATAAATCTGAGAGGCAGCATTGGCATAGCTGAACATGGGGTGAGATGATAGGGAAATGAGGAGTTAGAGGGTGTAAATGAAGGAAGCGGCAGGATTTTAAGTTGGATGTGAGTGCATCTGATTCTCCTGGAAGGAATATGGTCCTTCTTTAGACAGGTCCTTTACCTCCGTTCTGGCTTGGCCTTCCTCAGACCTCTCAGATCTACACTCTGTACATTCTGGAAGATGTGAAGAATAGTTCACATGACAGAGAACTATTCTAAGAGACTTTAAAAACAATAATTTGATTATACATTCTAGTGGGATATATCTTAAGGACAAATATAATGGGAGGAAATTTAAAATGGTTATAGTATTCATATCATTGGCGAGTGCTGGCATTCCTTCTCTAAGACAGCTGTGCTATTCTAATGTAATTGTCCAGTGGGTTCCTCCTGCCTGCTGCACAGACAAAATCAATCCACCGAGACTGTGGCATCGCAGCAAAGAGTTTAACTGACCTGAGGCCAGCCACGAGGGAGACAGAGTTATTACTCAAATCAATCTCCTTGAAGGCTGGGAGGTTAGAATTTGTCAAGGATAGTTTGGTGGGACAGGGGATGGGTGCTGCTGATTGGTTGGGGATGCCATCTTAGGGCTGTGGAAAATGGTCCTCGTGTGCTGTGTCTGCCTCTAGATGGGGGCCACGGGACCCCACAGCAGAGTCATGAGTCACAAGTCCAGGTGGGGTTAGTTGGTTGCCAGAATGCACATGTCTAAAATACATCTCAAAAGACCAATCTTAGGTTCTTCAATAGTGATGTTATTTATAGGGAGCAAGTAGGGAAGTCATAAATCTTGTGATCTCTGACCACATGACTCCTGAGCCCTGAGCACTAAGGGATTATAGAAATTATGCCTATATTTTAGCAGAATTCAGGCCCCTCCCATGATCCTAATCTTGTGACCTTTCATTAGTCTTACAAAGTAGTTTTTAATCCCTGAGCAAGGTAGGGGTTAGTTTTAGGAAGGGACTATTATCTTCCTTGCTTTCAAACTTAAACTATAAACTACATTTTTCCCCAAATTAACTTGGCCTACCCCCAGGAATGACCAAGGGCAATTTGGAGATTAGAAGCAAGATGGAGTCAACCATGTCAGATTTCTCTTAGTGTCATAGTTTTGCAAAGGTGTTTTCACTAATTGTATTTTTCTCTGTCACTGACAGTCAGTTTTACTGGTATGGGAGAAAGGACATATTTAAGATAGAAAAGTTTAAATAAACCCTTCACTTCTGAATTTGAATTGGAAGTATCAATATGTTCTCATGACATTTTACGTAAAAAAAAAACAGAACAGTTTTCTAGTTCTGTCTGTGGAAATACTGAGAAAATAATGATCAAGCTCATAGCAATAAATATCCCCAGCAACTAAACTGTGATAGTGCAATTTCATTTCCCACTAAAAGGAAACAAAGTTACTTGAAGAAATGACTGATTCCAGGTCTGGGTCAGGAACTGTACTGGAAGAGCCTGAATGTCTTTCTGGATCAGAGAGCAAAGATGAAAGGAAGAGATCAAAGATTACCAAGTCATGTTAAAAGGACCCCAGGAAACAACCTGAAGAAGCTTCCCTTGGCTAAAGTTTAGACAATTTTAACATTATTAAGAGGCTGGGTGCAGTGGCTCACGCCTGTAATCCCAGCACTTTGGGAGGCCCAGGTGGGCGGATCACCTGAGATCAGGAGTTCAAGACCAGCCTGGCCAACATGGCAAAACCCCATCTCTACTAAAAATACAAAAATTAGCCAGGCATGGTGGCATGCACCTGTAGTCCCAGCTACTCAGGAGGCTGAGGCAGGAGAATCGCTTGAACCCGGGAGGCGGAGGTTGCAGTGAGCCGAGATCGCACCACTGCACTCCAGCCTGGGTGACAGAGTGAGACACCATCTCAAAAAAAAAAAAAAAAAAAAAAGAAATTATTAAGGATAGTAACTGCAATGGATTGAAACACATAAAATATCTTAAAATCCACAAGTTCATAATAATACAGAAAAAAGGCAACTTGAACTATTGTCCATTGGTCTCCCTTAGAGAATGCTAGTGAACCAGCTCATTAATGTAAAAACCAATAAACAAAGGAAAATAATCAAGAATTTATCTGATGGTCCTATATGAGCTGTACCACTGGGTAACTAAATGGTAGTTGAGGGGAATTCTATAGACCAAATATTTGTGTTCCCCCAAAATTCTTATGTTGAAATCCTAACCCCCAGTGAAATGGCCCTTGGTAGGGGATTTGGTCTGGAAGGGGGTCATGAGTGGGATTAGCGTCCTTATAAAAGAAGCTCTAGAGAGCTCATTCACCCACCTGTGTCATGTGAGGACTCACTGAGATGAAGGCCATCTATAAGCCAGAAAGTGGGCCCTCATCAGTCATTGAATCGCTGGCACCTTGATCTATGAATTTCCAGCCTCCAGAACTGTAAGAAATAAATTTCTCTTGTTGATAAGCCACCCAATCGGTGGTATTTTTGTTTTAATAGCCCAAGCTAAGACAGACAAATTTCTCTTTATAGAATTACTCCAGCTAATACATGGAAATAATTGATACAATATTATCACTTTGCATCTCTTAATGCATTAAAGGGTCTGTGTATTTATCATCAGTGCCTGCCAACATCACACAAAGAGAAATGACTTGATGTTATATTCTTCTGATGGAAGCACATATCACCACTTACGAAGCACTCTTGAAAAAATTCATCCTCTTTGTGATCAAGCCCCTAGATCCAACCTATCCTTCACAAGAAAT